>NC_000007.14:95234051-95537082 GCF_000001405.40 Homo sapiens
TGACAGACCCACAACCAACATTATACTGAGTGGGGATAAGTTGAAAGCATTCCCCGTGAAAACTGGAACAAGACAAGGATGCCCACTTTCAGTACTTGCATTCAACATAGTACTGGAAGTCCTAGCCAGAGCAAACAAGAAAAAGAAAGAAAGGGCATCCAAATCAGTAAAGAGGAAGCCAAACTGTCACTGTTTGCTGTTGATATGATTGTATACCTAAAAAACTATAAAGACTCATCCAAAAAGTTCCTAGAACTGGTAAATGAATTCAGCACAGTTTCAGGATACAAAATTAATGTACACAAATCAGTAGCTCTGCTATACACCAACAGCGACCAAGCTGAGAATCGAATCAAGAACTCAACGCCGTTCACAATAGCTGCAAAGAAAAATAAAATACTTAGGAATATACCTAACCAAGAAGGTAAAAGACCTCTATAAGGAAAACTACAAAACACTGCTGAAAGAAATCATAGACGACACAAACAAATGGAAACACATTCCATGCTCATGGATGGGTAGAATCAATATTGTGAAAATGACCATATTGCAAAAAGCAATCTACAAATTCCTTGCAATTCCCATAAAAATACCACCATCATTCTTCACAGTACCATTCAGGACTAAAATTCATATGGAACCAAAAAAGAGCCCACATAGCCAAAGGAAGGCTAAGCAAGAAGAACAAATTTGGAGGCATCACATTACCCAACTTCAAACTATACTATCAGTCACCGATATAGCATGGTACTGGTATAAAATTAAGCACATAGACCAATGGAGCAGAATAGAGAACCCAGAAATAAACCCAAATATTTACAGCCAACTGATGTTCGACAAAGCAAACAAAAACATGAAGTGGGGAAAGGACACATTACTAACAAATGGTGCTGGGACAATTGGCAAGCCAGGTGTAGAAGACTGAAACTGGATGCTTATCTCTCAACTTATACAAAAATCAACTCAAGATGGATCAAAGACTTAAATCTAAGATCTGAAACCATAAAAATTCTAGACGATAACATCAGAAAAACTCTTCTAGACACTGGCTTAGGCAAAGAGTTCATGACCAAGAATCCAAAAGCAAATGCAACAAAAACAAAGGTAAATAGATGGGACGTAATTAAACTAAAAAGCTTCTGTTCAGTGAAAGAAACAATCAGCAGAGTAAACAGACAATCCACAGACTGGGAGAAAGTCTTTGCCATCTATACATCTGACAAAGAACGAATATCCAGAATCCACAAAGAACTCAAACAAATCAGCAAGACAAAACAAACAATCCCATCAAAAAGTGGGCTAAGGACATGAATGAATAGACAGTTCTCAAAAGAAGATAAACAAATGTCCAACAAACATATGGAAAAATGCTCAACATCACTAATTATCAGGGAAATGTAAATCAAAATCACAATGTGATACCACCTCACTCCTGCAAGAATGGCCATAATCAAAAAATCAAAAAATAACTGATGTTGGCATGGATATGGTGAAAAGGGAACAACTTTTACACTGTTGGTGGGAATGTAAACTAGTACAACCACTATGGAAAACAGTGTGGAGATTCCTTAAAGAACTAAAAGTAGATCTATCATTTGATCCAGTGGAAAAGAACTCATTGTATGGAAAAGATACTTGCACATACATTTTTATAGCAGTACAATTTGCATTTGCAAAAATATGGAACCAGCCCAAATGCCCATCAATCAATAAGTGGATAAAGAAAATGTGGTTTATATGTACCATGGAATACTACTCAGCCATAAAGAGGAAAGAAATAATGGCATTCACAGCAACCTGGATGGAATTGGAGACTATTATTCTAAGTGAAGTAACTCAGGAATGGAAAACCAAACATCGTATGTTCTCACTTAAATGTGGGAGCTAAGCTATGGGTACACAAAGGCATGAGTGATAAGTTGGACTTTGGAGACTCAAGTGAAAAGGTGGGGTGGCAAGAGGTTAAAGACTACACATTGGGTACAGTGTACACTGCTCAGGTGATGGGTTTACCAAAACCTCAGAAATCACCACTAAAGAATTTTTTAATGTAACCAAACACCACCTGTTCCCCAAAAACCTATTATAACAACAACAAAAAAATTTTAACTGCCACAAAGATTATATTTGCTTCAATATAAATTAGGAAGTTTTTCCGTATTTTTTTATTTTCAGAAATTACTTTTATAAAAGAGACTTAATGATGTAGATAAGATAGAAAGTTCCGTTCCTGGAAGTTTGTTATTATTCAGCTTTTAATTCAGCATATTAAAGGTAATGACAGAAACCACAATTACTTTTGCACTAACCTTATATAAACCATCTGTGCATTAGTGGAGGAATATTTTAAGTACCTTTCATAATAATTATTACTCTGTTCAAGTTTTCAATTTCAGGGGGACGATTTTGGTATTTTGCATTTTTCAAGAAATGTAGATATTTCCTTTAGGCTATTATACTTATTAACTTATATTTTTATAAAATAATTTTTAAGTATTGAAGTATTTTATATTTATAAGTAGTTATCCCTTTTATATTCTTTCTTCTCTTTATTTGAATATTTTTACTTTTTTAGGTTTTTTTGTAGAATTTTATCTGTCATTCTAGCTTTTTAGTTCCTAATTGTTTCTTCTTTGATTAAAAAAAGAAAAAAAACAAAGACCAATATTTCTTTTTTCTTTCTTCTTTTTTTCTTCTTGGTTGATTAATTGCACTTAGTTTATTTATTTTTAATAACTCTTACATTCTGACACCTGTACTGATTTTTTTCTGAATATTGCTTTAACTACATGTCACAATTTTTTACAGATAGAATGCCATTGTTATTTATATGTATTTTTTCTTGCAATTTTCTTTTTAACAAAAGAATGATATAGTGTTTTTTTTCATTTTCCAGACATGTAGAACTTTATTTTGCTATATTGTGTTATGGGTTGCAACTTTATTGCACTCTGATCAGAAAACATATTCCATATAATAGCTATTGTGTAGAATTTTTTAAGATATTTTATATTAATAGCTTGATACATAAACAGTTTTTATTTAATAATCCTCATTTATGCAAAAAGCACCCTTGTTCCATATTTAGATGTGAAGTTTATGTGTGTGTATGTGTATATATATATATATTTTTTTTTTTTTATGGTTTTTTGTTTTTTTTTTGAGATGGAGTCTCACTCTGTCTCCCAGGCTGGAGAGCAGTGGTGCCGTCTCAGTTCACTGCAACCTCTGCCTCCTGGGTTCAAGTGATTCTCCTACTTCGGCCTCCCAAGTAGCTGGGATTACAAGTATGCGCCACCACACCCAGCTAATTTTTGTATTTTTAGTAGAGACGTGGTTTCGCCATGTTGGCCAGGCTGTTCTCAAACTCCTGACCTCAGGTGATCTGCCCACCTTGGCCTGCCAAAGTGCTAGGATTACAGGCATGAGCCACCATGCCCAGCCATATTTTTTTATATATAAATAAGATTAATAATACAAACACATATACACATTTTTTCTGTACTATGGCTTATATTTTGTCTATTTGATCTACCAAATCTGAAAAAGCATATATTAAAATCACCAGTTACCATCATTTATTTCTTCCTGTAATCCTACCAGTGGTAGTTTTAGATATTTTACATCTTTGTTGTTAACTGCATATATGTTGAGGATTATTACAACTTCTTTATTTATAATATCTCTCTTGTCCTTTATGGTGCACTTTGTCCCAAATTATATTTTGTCTCATAATAAAAAATTAACTCTGGCTTTCTTTTGCTTTATATTTGTTTCACAGCATCTATTTTTTCCATCTTATGTATGTATTTTTTCCAACTTATGTATGCCACCTTATTTCATATTTTACAATGTCCATTCTTTTTTCTTATTTCTTTTTTAAGTCTTTCTACCTACTTGCCATTAGGTACATCAAATTTTCATCTGCTGCTTTAAAGTTATACATTTGTATTTTATTACCTTGACTTATTTTGACTTAGTCTTAGGTTATTTTTTCCTGGCAATATATAAAGCAGATCAATATCTATGTCTTTATCGTTTAACAAAATAATACCCATAGCATACCATCCTCTACCTCTCCTCTTGTTGCCAACTTTTTGTATTTCAGGAGTTTTAGTTACATATATTTGTAAGTGTACTTTTTACAAAATAATTAGTTCCAGCTCACCTATACTTCTTTCTGTCCAACTGTAATGGGATTCTGGTGCTGCCCTAGTGTTAATTCACTATTATCTCTGGTGCTGCAGCTTACCTACCACATTACACCAAAGGTTTCTACCAAAGGCACCAAAGGATAATAAGTTAGTGTCTAGGAGGTCTAAGCTTCAGGGCCTGAAATAGGCTATCCCTGATGTACCTCCAGATACAGGCTTACTCAGGTTATGTGGAGAAGACTAAAGATTAAATTGCTGGCCCCCATTCCTGGTTACTGTACTCTCCTGCTTCAGATCCTCAGTTTTCCAAAGACATCTGCAACTACTTGTGTTCTGTATGAGTTTCTCATCAGCTGTTTTATTAATTGATGAATAAGACCCTGAAGCCCATACAAAGTCTATTTTTCTTTTTTGGCATCTCCGAAGTTGAATTCAAGAGAGACAGGGAATAGCTCATGTTAGTTTGCTATGTTGTACTGCACTGGCACTTTCCCCCTCCCTAACTTTGTATTTTTATTTATTCCATCATCCTGTTTCTCTTAGGAATGTTTGATTACTCATATTCTAACTTCTTGAAACCAATGCTGAATTTATTGTCATACTTGATTGTTTAAATATGAGAGCAGTTAAAATTATGAACCTGTCTCTTATTATGCCTTTGGCCACATCTCGTTTCAACGTGCATTCTTCTCATTTTCATCACTTCATAAATAGTCTATATTTTTTATTTTTACTTTCATTTTCTCTTTGACTTGAACAATTGGGGAAACTTTTTAATTTGTAACTTTTTAATCTATTTAATGTTTTATTACATTGAGGCCAGATAATAGTGTCTTTTCAAGTTTTTCTTTTTTTGAATGTGTTGCTTTTATTGTAGACTAATACTGGTGTTTTTGGTAAAAGTGACACGATGTGTTTTAGACCTTCTGGATCCATATTCATTTTTCCTTAATCTAGGAAATTGAGAATTATATATACTGAAATTATACCTCATTGTTGTATTTTGTGTCTTACAGCTTTGGTTATCTATGTTGATGGCATGTTGAAAGTACATAAAATATGACTTCAAGATTTATCAACCTTTAAGTATACTTTGATGTTAATATTCTTACTGCTACTTTTGTTTGCAGTTGCTGGATAAACACCAGTGTATAAGTGTGTACCTATTTTTAACATAAACATAATTGTAGCACTTTGTTTTATAGTAGCTTTAAAATAATATAATCACCTGTGGTTCCAGCTATTCAGAGGGCTGAGGTGGGAGGATCACGTTAGCCTGGGAGGTAGAGGCTTCAGTTGAGTGGTGATTGTGCCATTGCACCCCAATCTTTGCAAGAGAGTGAGACCTTGTCTCAAAATAAATAAACAAATAAAAATATAATATTGGAATCTGTATTTTTTACAAGAAAATTTAACCAATTTAAGTTTATAATTATAATTATGCAAGATATAGGTGTTCCCACCTTATTTTATGCTATATGTTTCTTTTATGTTTATTGGCTTTCACACTAAGGCTTGTCTTTAAGTTTTTGAAAAGTGTTTAAAAATTTAAGGACAAAATAAAAATTAAAATATTAAAAATGAAATTAAAATTTAATTTAAAAATTAAAAATTAAGAACAAAATATAATTTGAATTCAAATAATCATTTGAATGTTTCATATGGAAGATTTTGATACACTCTTGGGTTCTAAGCGAGATTATTAAAATATAATTGTTACATTTTTTAAAAACTTATGTTTTTGGTTAGTTTTCTAAAGATATTTACAACAGATAGTTATACTCTCAGGTTAATCAGTATCCACTATTATTCCTTTTAAAGAATAATTTCTTCATTCTTATATTCTGAATTTTTTCTCATTCTCAGAGTATATCTTTAAGTAATTTGTTAAGTATTTGTGGAGGATATAGTTTCCATGAGCTTCCCATACTGAGAATGACATTCTAATTCATTTATGAACTTTTTCCCTGAAAAAGTGGTAGGGCAAGTTTTATTGTTTTAAGAGTGTTTTAAAGGAAAAGTCTAACATAAAGCTTGCATTTGGATGCTTGTATTGTTTTCACCTTGTACTTTAAAAATCTTTAGCACAATTTATTGAAGTAGGCCTTCTTTCATTGATTATTTGTCTTTTTAATTTGCTTTCATTGCTCTGTTTTTGTTTTGTTTTCATTTTAGTTCATTAATGTTTCCTTCAGTTTTTTCCTATTTCTGTTTTTTTTCTAGAAATACTGTCATCAGTATCTATTACGTTTTTTTATGGTTTTATTTTGTCTTTTTTTCGTGTCTGAGATTGTTTCTTAAATTTGTCTTGTCATATCAGTGATTTTATTTTTTATAGCATTAATTATGCTTTTTGTTAATTTTTTATTGGGTAAAATATACATGTATAGTTTACTGTCTTTACCATTTTAAGTGTACAGTTTAATTGTAATTAAATATGCTTTTAAATTCAAATTCATTTATGCTTTTTAGCACTTCTAACATGACTTAATTCTCTTATTAAATGTTTAGTCTTCTTACTCTTCATTCTTTCTCGCTTTTCTTTACTTTCTCTTCAGCCTAGAATTTCAAAAAGTGATCTTAAAATATTTTTTTACTTATGGGATACATCATTTTCACAAGTTTACTTATTTGTGTGTTCAAGTTGATATTTTCTTTACCTTGATTTGCAGTATTTGTTAATAGACCTAAGGTGACCTGTTTTTTCTTTCCTTATCTTGAAATGAAACAAAAATCTTTTAGTAGGTTAGTCAGTAATTATTCACTTTTTGATTATGAATCTCATTTCTAGACTTAGATCAGGAGGGATATTTAGGTGCCTCGTGTCCAGCCCAGTTGCTATTTTCTAGCAGTCTGACATCTAGGGCAATTCTCTGTACTAAGGTCAGATACTCCCAAGTATTGCCACACAGTTCTCTAAGTTAAAGAGATAAAAAAGGTAATTTCCAGTCTTCACTGCTAGCAAGGCACTTACTGAAGCCACCCATGTCTATATAGGTCTGCAGCTGAAAGTATGCAGTGTGCCATGCATCAGCCACCTTCCTGCATTTCCCCCTAACAGTTGCTTTCTGAGCAAATATGGAATACTGAGGAAGTTAGAGAGCCCAGTTTGAGGCCCCATTCCTGGGCAAGACAGTAGGGGTTGTCCACTTTTTGCTTGGGACAGAATGGATCTCAAGCCATCAGTGAGGGTGGTACAAAGTGTCTCCCTGATGTCAGAGGGGATCTTGGATAGATTTTTCTTAATTCAACTTCATGACTCTTTTATATTCTATGAACTGTTGTTTTTAGTTGTGGTGTTCATTTTTGATTGTGAGTTTTTTTGTTTTTAATGTGATTACACTGGCAGTTTAATGGAAGGTACGGCGAGGCTGGCTCAGGAACTGTTAGCCAGGTACCATTTAAAGTGACTGTCCAATTTCTCCCTTGCCATTCCTCCTCAGGAGTCACAGCAATTGCAACAATTAAAAAAATTCGACATTTCTCTTGAAGAAAAAATGGAGTCTAAAAGTTGGTTTATTTTATTTATTTAATTCTATGAAAAAGAATCTAGAAAAGTTATAAAATGCATGGGATAATAACATTAAGTTATCTTTATGGAAGTTTCCACTACCATGTAGGGAAGCTATAAATTGCTGCCTACTTAATAGCAAACAGTTACTTATTTAAAAAAGAGCTGTAATTACAGGCCATCAACTACATCCAGCAGCAGCATCATTAATAACAAGTTTATGAGTACCTACTTAGGGAGTGACCTTGTTAGAGAATCTCACCCAATGCTACATATGCTGCCATTAGTGTTACCATTCAGATTAGATTGTGATATTGTTCAGTCAGCCAGTTTTAGTTCATTTTGCATACATGATTCCCTAAGTAAAACACTTTCGTTAATACTGGATAGATACCATATGTAAACTTTTCAGCAGAAATTACAAAGAAATATGGCAAAGCTTCATCTTAACACCAAAATGTAGTTAAAAACAGCTTTGATTTCTTTTGTGAAGCTATATTGTTGTAGGTAAGACATACATCACTCAAATACTCACAAAGATAACTAAAAATTTAGATCCCAATCTAGAAAGCACTTTATAAAGTTCTATGCAAATATTAGTTATTGATTTGCTTTTGTAAAGCAACAGCAGAAAATGTTGCCCTTATCTGATTGTAATATTTCTAGAACTAGAGCTCTCTTAAAACATTTCCTGCAAAGATATTTTTCACTTTTTAAAGAAAAATGTTTCCATGCTCTCACAGGATAAGTAGAGAGAGGGCAAAAGTTCAGTCTCACTATTTAAGTTTCTGTGTAAAGGATGTTTCTATTTCTAGCACAGTTATATTTGGATTATATCGATCCGGTAATATGAGTGCATGTTCTGTATTCATCTTTTTGAAAAAAAAATTATACACAGCAGGTACACCTTCAGAATGTTAAATGAAAGCTCCTGTTCTCATAGGAATGTGTATGTTTATTTGTGCTGAAATCCTGAGGTGCATATCTATGGCTTTCATATTAAAGATGACTGAAGAGATGAAAATGATGGTCTTGTAAGTTAAAAGACTTTTACCTGCAGTCCTTAACCTTTTCTTTTTATTTATGCCCTCCTAATCCCAACTCTTTTCTCCAAACCTAGCTTCTCTGAAGCCCAAAAACTCCAACAGGCATCTCAGGCTCTATTTCTATTAACCAGCCCTGTTAACCTTCTATCCCTGCAGTCAGCGTGCCTGACCATTCTTGCAAACTCTTGGACCTGTACTTTGAAAAGGTTATTGATTCTTGACATAAATCTCTTAAACATGTGGAAAGGGAACTGCTCTAGAATAAGAAAACTCAACCTTTTACCAACTATGCTTCATTTGTCGAGGTCCTTCACCCCTGTGAAAAGCAATTTTCTTTTCCTCATGAAATGGAGATAACTTGGGTCCATCTTGCTCACTTTGCTTGGAAAGTAGGGTCCACGTCTGGACAAACAGGCCAAAGACACATGACATCTGATCTGGCTATAGGAACAAAAGACTAAACAAGCCATCCAGCAGCAGGTTGCCTCTGACCTTTCTCACAGGGTGATCTGGAGAATTCTTACAAGGTGTTTTTATTAATCTCCCTGAAGTATCTTGAAAGTAGATTCTATGTCATGTTCATGTATCCTCAGTGATTAGCATAGTACCTAGCACGTAGTCTCAGTCACTAAAGGCCAATTGATTATTAAGGGAGGTGGAGGTCTGCTTTCTAAGCTTCATTAATAATAACAGCAGCTGATTGAGCACCATTTTGCATTCACTGTCAGAATGCTCAGAGACTACCAGAAGTGATCCATGGTTTCCAGTTGGAGTAATAACTTCTCATCTGAGAGGTTATGATGATGACATATGGCTTGGGGTTTGGGGGAAGATTAAATGAAAAATATATCCCAAAGCAACTGGTTCAGTTAGATACATGGTTAAGGGAGGAACAGAGGTAGGAAGAGTCAAATCTGGTTTTGTTTCCGCTCCATCACCTGTTTCTAGTGGGAACTTGAAAAGGTGTGTGACTTCCCTGAGCCTCTTTCCTCATCTGAACCATGAGGTTCACAACACCTGCCCTGCCTCCCCCAGTCATTTGCAATGATAAAGGGAGATGATTAAAAATAAAGGGGCCTACAAATGTAAGAAATTTAGTATTAGTGGAAAGAACCATGGGCTGGGATTTCTAAAACCTGGCTTTGGCACCTAATAGCCTTCCAAGGTAAGCTCACTAGACACAGGTCCATACTATATAAAACAAAAAGGGTTCAGTTAGTGTATTTTGATGCTTTTCTTGTCAAAAGTGATGGATTTGTAGAAATTCTCTTAATGTACATACAGAATTAAAATAATCGCATATTTTTAATTTTAGGCCTCATGTGTACTAAGAAAATCTTGTCCATTCTGAATAATGTGAATTTACACAATTCATTCTGCTTTCCTATATGTAAAGAATTTAGCTATACTTAGTAACACTCCAAACTTTGCGCAGTTGTTCTCACCTCACTGCTAATTAGTTCAGTTCCCTCCTGTTATCCATTTTTGGTGAGATGGAAAGGGTAGAATAGATCAACATGGGCTGTTTCACAGTTTTACCTGGGTTTGTCCCACAATTTGTGGATTAATCTAGTGTATTTATTCACAAGAAGGAAAATATTGGCTCAGGACAAGAATTTCTAAGCTCTGCAACCTTGACAACTACCTTCAGGTTCTTTGTTTCATAAATGTCACACCTGTTGTATGTGAAAGGGCCCTTGGAGTTCCTCACATCTAGCATTTTTCATATGGGAAACTGAGGCCCAGAGAAGCAACTTATAGAAGACACAGTGATCTGAGAAAAGAAAGTCCAAAATGCCAACAAGCTGCATGCCACGTATTTGGTTACCCTACGAGGAGTTAATAAAATCTGTCACTTGCCCATAGTGCAGTGTTCACTGTGGAATCTGCCCTTTTGATTTCTTGTTTCTCTTTAAATTGAATCAGAGGTGTTCATTTTACTTCAGGTGTGACATTTTACAGCAGTTAGCACATTTAACTGAGAGGTGAAGCTGGGGTAATCATATTTGAGTTATTCAGATCATTCTTTCTTGGTCCTAGCTGAGTTTATTGAGGACATACTATATGCTAGCCACTGTGCTAAGTGCTTTATATGGGTTTTATCACTTAATCATCCAATAAGGAAGGTTATGACTTATAAGGAACTGAATTTTACAGGCAAGGAAAGTGAAATGAAAGAGGTTAAGTAATTTTCTAATGCTCCATAGAGTACATGGTAGACCAGAGATGAATTCAAGCAGTCTAAGTTAACTACTCTTCATGCTTGGCACATGGTTGAAAGAACAAGAAGTATATCTTGTCAATAGCGATTGCAAATCCTATAAAATCACCTAAGTGTATGGATTTTCTGGATGCCTTAGCACATAGCCATGTATGTTTGTGTGCATATACATTATTTGTTTTTGTAGATTTATATATAAATAATGTGTCTAATGTCTAAGTACTTTTGCCCTTTTTTACGTTATTAGTTTATACTGGTGGGGGAGATTAGCCCTAATATTTATTAGAGGGAGAAAAAGTCATTTTTACAGCATCCTGCACATAGCAACTCTTCAACGAATGCCTATTGAATTCATCCTTATTTTCTAAGGAAAGTGGCAATGGATCAGAACGAGAAGATCCAGGTTTTAGTTCTGGTTTTAATGGTGATTCACTGTGAGGAAAAGACCAGGTTGGCTGTCTTCTCCAATCTTTAGTCTTCCCGTGTCTAAAATGAGTTCAGAAGAGCCTACAGTTGGAGCGTCCACTGGGCATTCAAGCCTATCTGACTGGCTAGCCTGGTGTGTCAGGATTCCAAAAGATCCATCCAGACTAGGACTTAGGATGAGTATAGACCTCATCAGTGAAGGGGTAGGAATTGCAGGGATTTCTGAGCAGCACTGTTGTGTCTTTACACCTTCTTCCAATCTAGTCATTGAGAAAACTTGTGATTAGGTTCCTTGCCAGGTGCACTAATACTCTGAGCATCTGCTAAAGGCAGGTAAGTAAGAATTGTACCACTTGTGCTGTGGTAAGAAACTAAAAGAGCCAGATTTTGTGTCTTATAAAAATAACATTTCCACATAGGGTCCTACTCTAGAAACTGTTCAAGCATAGAAGCCCCTAGGAGCCGGTGAGGGTGCAAGGAGCAATAGCCACACCAGCAAGATGGCCAGAGTGACCAGGTCAGGAAGAATGTAAGCAGTGTGAGTGCGGCAGAATCAAACTGAAAAGTTTCAAAATCACTCTCAGCACCAAGAGCAGTAACAAGAGCTGTGGCAGTGCAGACCTCATGCCTTTTGCATAACAGGAGGAGCACTTTACAAGGAACTTAGGAACCCTCAGGTTCTGGGCAGTTAGCCACAGGCATCCAAGGGGGTCGAATAGACCTGTCCTTGGTTCTTCCATCTTCCCTTTATCATCCTTCCCATGTGTCCCCATGAACTTGGTAAAAACCCAAGGGAATACAGGTTGCAAACCCAAGAGAGGGCTGAGGTTTATGAGGTGCTGTGGTCTCCACAGGTTCACATTGCTAGTCTGAAAACTCCACATTTCTGTCCTTCTGTCAGACTCACTCACTTCTGATAAGAAAACCTCTTAGCCTTACTTGATTACAGTAATAGTAAAAGTTTATGGTCCCTCATGTACAGTCTTAAATCCAAAACGCTCCCAGTCTTTTTTGTAATTTTGTGTCAAACTAATTTAGTGGTACAACCTGACCTAACAGGATGCTATTTACAGTCTTCATGTACCTCGCTTAGTGGGAATATTCATGTTTGGTGGCAAAAATAATTCATGTGTTTTTGACTATAGAGTGCCTCCAAAGACCCTGCTGTGGATAATAAGCAATTTGTAGAAGATACATCGTAACTACTTTTCTGAAGTTGGAAGAATGCTGACTTCCAAAAACATCTGGCCCCAAGGATTTCAGACAAGAAATTGTGAACCCATAAGTTGTTTTTCTTAAATTTGGGAGTATTTATTGATCCCCTAAGGAAACGAATGATTCGTTCAGTTCCTTCTTCTTCCCTTACAAAGAAAACAAAGCGGGGGGAGGGACAAGCAAAACAAATGTAAACTGTGACTCTTATTGCTAATAAGCTGTGGCAGAAGCTGTTGGGGGTCTGAGTCTTCAAAAGGAGCAGATCTTTTGGAGGACAGAAATCTGGATCTGTACCTTTCCTGCAATTAAAAGAAAAAAATATGTATCAGAGATTTCCCCGTGCAACTGCAGTCCTCCTCCTCTCTCCCTTTGCAGTGGAGCTGCTGATCAGAATGTGCTTGCAACTCACAGGACCATAGCGCCACCTTTCTTGCAGATTTGGAATAAATCTTCACACGTCCAGGTTTGGAATTAAATCACACTATCAGCTCACTTGCCTGTGTATGCCGTTCAGTTAGCTAGACTTAGCAAGGAAACAGTTCCTTGACGCTCAAATCATAAAGGAAGAGCTGCAAAGAGGGCAATAAAAAGTGTTTTCTTCTCTTGGTCCCTGAGCAATTAAATTGGTAACCTAATCTGATGTTAGGGAGTATAGACCATAAACTGTGTTTAATTAGTTTGCACCCAGTGTCATTTCACACAGTAGACACTTTAATTTACAACTTGCTGCACTGCAGCACTTTTCTAGGCCTTTTACTATGTAATAAGGCATTCTTGTAGCTGCTGAGGCTTTACAAATATAGATACACTTTCTTAGTTCAGATTTTTTCTTTCTTTTCAATTTTCAGTTGCAAATCAAACATGCAGTTACAGAAGCAGAGATTCAAAAATTGAAGACCAAGGTAAGCACCGAAACATGGTGTTTGAATTTTACTTTTTAAACTTCAGATACTATGAATAAATCCAATCCTAGGACTAAAGGTTTTGTCCCTGTATATTTGAAAGAATGCAAATGTGATAGATTCATTTTCACTGTCAGGTACGTAGACAAACCTGCCAGTGAGAGCAAACACCCACATCCCCCTCAGTGCAAATAACACAATATTTTAGATATATATATTTATGTATTTGCACATATGTGGCCTCTGAGATTTCCTTAAAAAGTAATATTTTTAATGGTTCAAGTATGCAAAGTATGTTTTGATTACTAATTCCTTAAGCAAAGCTACTATATCTCCTCTTCACTTACCTTATTATAAATAGATTTAATCATTTGTAGGAACAAATTTAGTATAGCACATCAATGTTTTATAAACCATTTCTAATTTCTAATAATTAAATCTTATAAACTTAATACATGCATAATTTAAGTGCCAGGTACTACTGGAAATTTTTAGTTGTTTGGTTCACATAATTTAAATTTGTGGGGGAGAAAAGGTCTTGATAAAAGGGAGTATGTATTATTAGTCTATATATTTTCATTGACAAACTTTAAGGCACTCGTATGAGACACAATTCTAGCAATTTTGTTTAGTTTTATCAAATATACAATTTCAAAGATTTAAAAATATATTTTAAATTACTTTTAAAGCAATATTCTTTATTGTTTCAATGGTCTTTTAAAAATTAAAACATAATTACCCTCCCCCGCCCCCAATCACCACCACCACTACCACTAATGATCTCTTTTGTTGTTCACATTGAACACTTGTTTTGGTTTCTCCGTGTGTTTTAAATGGAGATGAATTAGCAAGGCTATTTTGGTTAAATGCTATTCTCAGCTAATTCACTCTGCAGCTCTTTAGTCAAAATACGACTATACATCATTCACGGTGTTAGTCCAGCTCCGTGAATAATAATTTTAAATTAGTGGCGGTTGCTAAATAAACAACTTGATACAAAACATTGCTTAATAAAAGATGCAGTAAATAACCTATTCCTGTTTTAAATTGTCATTGTCTCTTGACATAGAAAGAATTGAAGATTTTTTAAATTGTTGTTTTAAAAAGATCTCTTTTTCCCTGTGATTGTGTTTTAATGGCGCTTATGTATTAGACTATAGACATTTAACTTAGAAAATACTATAAATTAGCATTTTATATTTTTTCATCATTATATTGGCATGTAATATCCACAGATTAGCACTTTATTATGATTCTTTATTATTCATTTTGATAATAGAATTCCTAATCTTGACATTGTTTTGGATGCTTTCTAACTTTGTAAACTGTTTTGCAAATGTGTTTAGTTAAAAATATTTGCAAAAACATAGATGTGTGTGTATATAAATACATGTTTACTTTTGCTAAGTGCTATATGATTTTGAACATTGATAGTTTATAATGACTTTGCATCCTTTTGAACTTTAAAGAAGGCATATAAAGTAGATAAAGTACCAGTTTGAAGGCCAGAGAGTTATTGGGAATGACTTTTGAGCCCTCACCTAAATGATCAGTATTGGATTTCTGTAGAAATGAGGGTATTAGACTAGTTTACTATCTATTCCTAAGAGTCCCTAGAAGCAGAAAAACAAAAAGCTGGTTATGGCTTTCTGTTCCGTGGGAGGGAATTAAATTAACCAAGCAAAAATTTATACTTTTACTTACACTATCTTTTATATTTTTATGGGAATTGAGGTTTATAAAGCTTGAGAAATTCATTACACTACATGTAAAATAATGAGCTATAGAATATGTTCATGTTCCTTGAAATAAAGAATGAAATAAGATCACCAAAAGGGTTAAAAGCAGAGTGAAAGTGGTTAATGTTTATCAGATGATTCTTATGCCCAAGGAGCTATTTCAAGCATTCTGATGTGTTATATCACAATTCTGTTGTATGGATGATGTAATTGAGTCTTGGAGAACTTCAATTACATGTCCAAGGTTTAATGGCCAATAATGACAGAACTGGGATTCAAATCCATGCTGAATGACTCCAGAGATCCCCTCTTAACCATTAAGCCATACTGTGCTTCTAACTCCTCTCTCCTCCCTGGCCCTCTCCACTCCCTTTTTAGTTAATTTTTTATATATAATTATATATTTTTTAAAAACTCTCAAAACATGTTGACATTCGTTGGATATATCAAACTCTGAAACATCTTTTACTGCTCACAGAATTTCAGATCACCTGGTGTGATGGAAATATCGTGTGAGGTGGAATCCAATCCATGTTTTATCACTTATCAAATGTGTGACCTTGGACAAATCATTTCACTTTTCAAGGCTTCCATTTTATCATCTGTGGAATTATAAAAATAATACCTGCTTTTCTCATCTCAAGTGGATTCAGTGATTGTTTATGATAATAGAACTTGATCTACAACATGCTATAAAAATGAGAGATTTTTGCCACAAAAGTGGCCAAATTATCTTTGCCTTGACGTTTGCTTTCTCCAGCTGCAGGCAGCAGAAAATGAGAAAGTGAGGTGGGAACTAGAAAAAACCCAACTCCAACAAAACATAGAAGAGAATAAGGAAAGAATGTTGAAGTTGGAAAGCTACTGGATTGAGGCCCAAACATTATGCCACACAGTGAATGAGCATCTCAAAGAGACTCAAAGCCAGTATCAGGCCTTGGAAAAGAAATACAACAAGGCAAAGAAGTTGATCAAGGATTTTCAACAAAAGTAAGCCGCTTCTAATAACTAAAGAATAGTTATGTTTGTCTAAAGAAGGTTTATGTCCAATAATTTTGTAATATCTAGTGGAACAGAAAAGATGACCTTAGAGATATCTTTCCTATCCAGGAGCATAGTTACAGCATAAATACACATTAAGTTTTGGAAGTCACTTCTATCACTTTTTCATGAGATTATGTTTTGTATATTTTATAGTTTTTGGCTGCCAGGGCCTCTTTGCTATTTTTGATAATTAATCGTTGTTTATAACTGTTAAAACATCTGAATTTCTTTATTCTTTTTGAAACACCTCTATGATTTAGAAACAAGAAGCCCAGCGGAAAGTCATGTAGAATGACTGACTATTGGATGTGGAGCACGCAAGCCACAGCTGGGGCCTGAATCAGGCTGCTCCTCTCTATTCTTAGATCAGTAACTACAGAATTTCCCACTACAGACAGTGCACATATCGACTAGCAAGGCCCCCTGCCCTGCCACTCTGCATTTCTCAGCTGTTGAGAGAATCAGGAGGGCCTCCTTTCACTGCAGGGAGAGAGACCATTACCACATTCTGCTTTTGATTTTCAACAGCTGTTTCTGAGCTACTGCTCCTTTGCTTCCATCTCTTGGATCTCGGTGTAATGTCACGGAGACTGACCACGGAGATTTTTACTAGATTTTTTTCATCAGTTACTTCTGGCTAGTTAGAACAAATAAGTAGTACCAGTACCTTTTCTGGTCTTCCATGCCAAGCCTCAGAAGCTAAGCATATATGTAAGATTAACCATATTTCTTTTATTTCCTATTATGTGGAAGAATGTTTTTAATATTTAAAAGAGTTTTGCTATCAAAAGTTTCTTGTTAAAAGGGGAGTAATTATTCTCTGTGACTATAAATTCAATACATCACTGTTTTAACTATTTGCCAAACTCTTTTTCATGAAATAATTTTATAGTAAATTTTGCTAAATTTGCATATTCTATTCCAGGTTTTCAAAATGGAACTGTTTCTCTTCTCCCCATATTATCCTTAGGTCTATAAGTGAGTGCCCCTCTCGATGTTTCTGACCCACCCAGCCCCCTCTTCACTGTTATTCATAGAAATCTTACAATTATCTTTTTCGAACTCTTATCTAGTTACATCAGTTTACTATACTATGCTTATGACATTGGAAAAATGGAATTATTTCTACCTGACAAGTAATTATCTCCACTAAATTACCCAATGTGGGTCATTAGTGCAGTCTTTCCTATCTAAATATGTATGGGTGTTCTAGAATCAGGAGCTACGAAAGAAAATTATAGTAAGCAGAATCGAATCATTTTTCTTTGCCTTGTGACCCATTAAAGATGTTTTAGTTTCTTTCATTACTATACTTTTTCCTCTAACTGATTGAATGTTGTCCATTTAAATAACTGTTCAGTTGCTTATCCTACTATGCAGTTTATTGTTTCAGATAAGAACTTTCATTTATTGAGTGTATGATATAATCAGAACTATTATTTTCTTCTTAAGAGAGCTTGATTTCATCAAAAGACAGGAAGCAGAAAGAAAGAAAATAGAAGATTTGGAAAAAGCTCATCTTGTGGAAGTGCAAGGCCTCCAAGTGCGGGTAAGTTGTGTTCCCTAAGACACTAAATAATAAGATGGTTTTGCTGTACTTGGAGGGGAGCGCTAGTTTAGAGTTTTATAAATGGATTTGTTTTTCCTAGATTAGAGATTTGGAAGCTGAGGTATTCAGGCTACTGAAGCAAAATGGGACTCAAGTTAACAATAATAACAACATCTTTGAGAGAAGAACATCTCTTGGTGAAGTCTCTAAAGGGGATACCATGGAGAACTTGGATGGCAAGCAGACATCTTGCCAAGATGGCCTAAGTCAAGGTTTGTTTAACCCAACCACAAAAATCATTTTTGATGACTGTGTAATTTGGCCTTTTATTTTTCTTTTTCTGACCCAGAGATTTAAAAGTTGGAAATACCTTCCTACTATGGGAAAGAAGAAAAGGCTTATCAAAATAGGAGTCAATCATTTTAGCTCTCGTCTTATCAAAAATAAATACTTTAATATGTAGCATTAACAAATCACAACTAAAGATAAGCCAAATACTATTTTAAAATCATCATACAATTGACAGATTTAATAAACTGCCTTACAAATTGTAGTTCATCCTATCTAGGATGAACTACACTACTTATGTGTTAATGACTAAGGTTTAGATTTTTTTTTTTTTTTTTTTTTTGAGAGTCTCACTCTGTCATCCAGGCTGGAGTACAGTGGTGCAATCTCAGCTCACTACAACCTTCGCCTCCCAGGTTCAAGCGATTCTCATGCCTCAGCCTCCCCAGTAGCTGTGACTATAGGCATGTGCTACCACGTCTGGCTAATTTTTGTATTTTTAGTAGAGGTGGGCTTTTGCCTTGTTGGCCAGGCTGGTCTCGAACTCCTGACCTCAGGTGATCCACCTGCCTTGGCTTCCTAGAGTGCTAGGATTACAGGCATGAGCCACCGCGCCCAGCCAAGCTTTAGAATGTTTAAGTCACTAGAATAAAGATCTTTTTCATAATATCAGAAGGCAGACTGCTGCTTTCAGCACTTGAGATTCATGTAGTTAACGAAGTCCATATAGTTTTGTGCTTTTACCATGGTGTACTGTGTATACTTCTTAGGTCTTTCATGTCAAAGACCAAGTAAGACCAAAACACTGGAAACATTTGGTATTATAAATGATTATCTTCATTCATACACCAACCATAAATAAATTACTTATGTTCTTACACACACAACATTCTTAGATTGCACGTGTATGAACATGAATGACTGTTTTAATATCTGTGGTATATTTGCAAATTAGAAAACACATAATAATTATAAAGATAAATACACAGGAATGTGTGGCTTCATCTTTTTAAATATATACATAGTAGTCCCTGGAAAATGAAAATAAAAGAATGTGGTGCAGCAGGGTTGTCATGACAGGACCGACAACTCAGAGGCAACACTTTGACGTGCAGTAAAACCCTGTTATAATGGGCTTTTTAGTTTTTTCGTGATCTTTCTCACATATTAAACTGTCTCCAGTGAAGTTTTCCTGATAAGCAAGTGTTTATATCCTATCATGAACTTTTAGAACTAAGCTCTTAGCCATTAAAAATGGAAAGGATTAGAAATCTTCATTTAAAATTAAAATGATATCTAGAGATTTGAATCCATTCACTGGGTTTATATCCTTCTAATGGGTTTTCCCTAAATAGGATGTAATTTATAAATAGTGCCTCTTAGGCAGCTGAAAGAGGAGGATTTAGCATTAGCATTACGACTAAGTGAGGAGCTGTGTGACTTCAGGAAGAGTATTTAGCTTCTCTGGGTTGATATTACTGTGCATATTATTTTAAAAGTAGTATTTCCTTCTTCACCACTTTAAGGCCTGTTTTGAAACTATATGGTTTAGTCTTTGAAGCCAAAAAAGTAATTTATTTGAGCTCTTATGGAATTATAATTTTTATACCTGGAACACTATAAGATTGATATCTAAAGAAAAACATCAGGAATCAAACCAAATTTTTTACCTTTTTGAATATTTTAATTTTTAAAAAATTATAGTTTATATATAATAAATACATATTCCTGCTGTGGCATACTCAAAGTATGAGCAGTATCTAGTAGCTTTTCATTTCTATTCATTTCTTTCAGTTTAGAAATCTGTATCTTTTCAAACATATAATTAATGGTGTTTATTAAATTATATGACTACAGAAGATCAACACACTATACTATTAACATGCTGATTTGGATCAAAACCTTACATTTCATCTGAACCCTTTTTCTATTCTACACCCTCCATTTTGCCACATAATTATCAGTTTCCCTAGCAACACTGTTGGTTCACAGTGAGATGTGGAGACTACTAATTCTTACTGAAGCCAATCCATGCTTGTGCAGTAGAGGTAGAATCAGTCATCTCAGACATTAGTAGCATACATATCAAGTGCTCTTCCAGTTTTGCTGTGAGGACAGTCAGTGATAAATCTCTTTGAATTTCAGTTGCTTGATCACATAAACTAAAATGGCGTGGTCAGTAGCTAGATAGGAATGCTCTGGAAAGCACTTTTCTAAATTGATCCCTTGCTTCTGTTGCTAGGGAATGCTGAAATACTAGAGGTTTAGAAAGGAAAGTAAGGCTGCAGACCTAACATAGGCCATTCCACATTTAAAAATCCATCACCAACGTTTTGTACCAGGAGAGGTATAGCACTTCCAGTAGTTCCCAAAGTTCCTAGATGCAAGTGTTATCCTCCCGACCTTCTACTGACTGTCCAATTCTGATTTGCTTTTCAGGCACTGGAGTGGTAGGATGAGTGGTTTAGCATGTTTTTAGGCATTGAGGTAGCTCATGAAGCAAAAGAATGATCAAGTGTAGGTCAATGAAAATGGTCAGAATGAAATAGTAAAAGGAAGGGAAGGCAAGCTAAGGAGGAAGAAAGGAAGAGCCTCTGAGCAGCCGTTTCTTCATGTGTACTCATGCTCTTCCAAAATGATGTGACTCTTAATATTGAATTATAAATTTTTGAGGAGTAAAACCTTTTTCCAAACCATACAGAAATTTAGCACAAATTTAAAATTACGTTTGACCACCATTTGTATGTTTCTCACTAAAACCTAAGCCAACTCAAGTATTATTAAAATTTTGATAACAATCATCAGTACAAATTTGTTATTTAATATATTGTAACACTTTTATCTTATCATGATTACATAAAGCAGACGTAACAAATTTTTTTCCACCAAGAGCCATAACAGACCCCAAATCCATTCTAGTTTATATCAATGTGCTGGTCAAGTATTTTCCTTGTGTTCCAGGAAAGGAAAAATGATAATTATGCCCTGCTGCTATGTTTCATGCTTGTCATTTCTTAGTGCCTAAATAATGCCAGGATTAGGATAAAAACAGAGAATAGGTATGTTAGAGTGATCTTGGTAGGCTAAAAGCTTGTAATATTAGTTTTATTGGATTTCCTAGAAAAGTCACAGAAGCAATACATTCTGAGCTTCTAGATATTCCAGGATCCTTATGTTGATACCATTTGCTGCTTCAAATATTTTGAAGGCTGGTTTGCTAAAGGATTGTGCATATCCCATAGAGATACTGAAAGAAAGACTAGGGCCAGTAGGTGGAAGTTACCTATGAAGGCATATTTCTGACTATTCTACCGTGAGAGATCAGGAGTAAGTGTGATATCATTTAAAAAATTATTTTGAACACCGAAAACCTGCTTCCAGGCAGGCCTTAGGTGGTACACTGACTTGTAAGAGAAAGTGGCTACTAGGCAGAAAGAAAGTACTAGGTCCTGCCGATTATACTGCAAGGTATATGATTTGTGGGATCAAGAATGAAAGAGGAAAAGTTTGGTAGGAGACAAATAAATAGAATTTAAGGCACTATGTAAGCATCTCAAAAGATGAGAGGGAATTCAAAGAAGAGAAAATTGAATAACATTAGCATAATTTTTTTTCTGATTCATGGTCTTTATGTTGAAAAGGTAGAGCCATTTGAAATGACATAGTGTGTTCTTGGAGTAGAAGTGGGCTTTGACTGCAGAAGGGTTTGTACATAATCTTGTAAGCATTGTGACCCATTCACAGTTTTGAAGCATAACAGGAACTTAGTCACTTGTAGGTTTGTAAATGTGATTCAAGGATTTCTGTGAAATTTGAATATTGCTACCAAGTGCTGCTTCATTTCATTTTCACACCTACCTACTCAGTGAGTGGACCACCAGTTAGGTAATACTGCATGTTATCTTCCCAAAAGTGTGAACAAGGAGGGTTATATAAGGCATTTTATACTTTGTTCCCTTAGTTACTTACTGTTCCTTAGCTCTAATGAGAACTGAGCAAGAAAAAAATATACTCCAGCCTGAGTGATAGAGCAAGATCCTGTCTCAAAAAAAAAAAAAGTGACATTGAAAGCTATTAAATATCCTGTTAATATTAGCAACCTGAATCCAGAAATGTAATTAAAATATATATGACTAACTTGAGTCTATGTAAACAACACAAAATTGTTTTAACATTAGAAAACCTACTCATATAAAATCAACACATTAACTAGAGGAAAAATACATATAATTATTTCAATGAATGAAGACAAACATTTAATGAAGTTTAATACCTTTTCAAGTTTAAAAGTTTTATCAAACTAAAAATATGGAGGAACTTCCATAACTTGATATTGTGAGGCTAACAAAAGTCTCTGTCACACATTATATGAAGTGGAAAAATGTTATACTCCAAGAATTTCCTTTAAAATTAAGAATGCTTTTAATATTTCATCACTAAGTGTATTACTACTGCTTCTATTCAGTGTTGTCCTAGAGGTCCTAGTAAGTACTACCAGATAAGCAAAAGAAATCAAAAATTTAAGGAGTGAAAATAATCAAAATTTTCATTATTCACTCATAATAAAATTGAATACATTAAAAAACTCGAGTCTTCTGATTATTAGATGTTATAAGAATTAACAGGGTAGATGGATTTAAGAAGCATCAGACATCAATCATTTCCAACAAACAAAATGTAATTTTCTAAAATATGCCATAAAAATAGCAAAAACTATGTATAAGGTAGTCAGTGATGAATTTAACAAAAGATCTCAAGACCCATGGAAAGACATGAAAGAAGACTTACATAAATTGAAAGAGAAAGGAAGCCTCAATATTATAAAAATGCTTTTTATGCAAAATTAATCTATATATCCCATGCAGTTTTAATTAGAATTCAAACAAGGCTTTTAACTTCTTTAGAATTTGGTAAGTTGTTTCTAAAATATATATGGATGAATTGCTTGGCCCAGAATAGGGCCAAGGTGAATTGCTTGGCCCAGAATAGGGCCAGGTTCTCCTGAGGAAGAACAAGGTGAGGAACTTGTTCTTCTAGATACTGAGATTCATTATGAAGTAAAAGTGATTAAGACCACGTGATATAGTCCCAGCAATTGTCAAGTGGTCTAATATGCAGAATACAGAGTCCAGAAGCAGACTGACACATTTATGTCAGTTTGAGAATAATACAGAGCAGACACTGCAGTTCTGTGGGTAAAGGATGGACTAATAAATGGTGCTAGGAAAATTGACCATCCATATGGAAAAAATGAATTGGATTCTACCTCACATTATTCATGAAATAAGTTCCAAATGGATTACAGTCTCAAATTTGAAAGACGATACTTAACACTCTTAGAAGAAAATGTGGGATTTCATATGATTTCTTTTTTTTTTTATTATTATGCTTTAAGTTTTAGGGTACATGTGCACAATGTGCAGGTTTGTTACATATGTATACATGTGCCATGTTGGTGTGCTGCACCCATTAACTCGTCATTTAACATTAGGTATATCTCCTAATGCTATCCCTCCCTGCTCCCCCCACCCCACAACAGGCCCCTATGTGTGATGTTCCCCTTCCTGTGTCCATGTGTTCTCACTGTTCAATTCTCACCTATGAGTGAGAACATGCGGTGTTTGGTTTTTTGTCCTTGCCATAGTTTGCTGAGAATGATGGTTTCCAGCTTCATCCATGTCCCTGCAAAGGACATGAACTCATCATTTTTTATGGCTGCATAGTATTCCCTGGTGTATATGTGCCACATTTTCTTAATCCACTCTATCATTGTTGGACATTTGGGTTGGTTCCAAGTCTTTGCTATTGTGAATAGTGCTGCAATAAACATATGTGTGCATGTGTCTTAATAGCAGCATGATTTATAATCCTTTGGGTATATACCCAGTAATGGGATGGCTGGGTCAAATGGTATTTCTAGTTCTAGATCCCTGAGGAATCGCCACACTGACTTCCACAATGGTTGAACTAGTTTACAGTCCCACCAACAGTGTAAAAGTGTTCCTATTTCTCCACATCCTCTCCAGCACCTGTTGTTTCCTGACTTTTTAATGATCACCATTCTAACTGGTGTGAGATGGTACCTCATTGTGGTTTTGATTTGCATTTCTCTGATGGCCAGTGATGATGAGCATTTTTTCATGTGTCTTTTGGCTGCATAAATGTCTTCTTTTGAGAAGTGTCTGTTCATATCCTTCGCCCACTTTTTGATGAGGTTGTTTGTTTTTTTCTTGTAAATTTGTTTGAGTTCATTGTAGATTCTGGATATTAGCCCTTTGTCAGATGAGTAGATTGCAAAAATTTTCTTCCATTCTGTAGGTTGCCTGTTCACAAAAATTCCAAATCGTAAAAAGGTTGGATGAATTTGACCACAGTAATATTAAGAAAATCTGATCATTAAAAGACATTATAAAGTAAATGGAAAGAGAAACCGAAAGTTGAAGAGGGTATTTGTAGCACGTATAACTAAGAAAAAAATATTGTTGTCCACAATAAATTAAGAACTCACATAAATCATAAGAAAAACACAACCAACATAGTAGAAAAATGGGCAAAACGCATAAGAAGTTCACAAAAGCAGGAACCTAAACATTAGTAAACATAGACATTCAACTTCACTGGCAAAAATCAAACAATTGGCAAAGATAAAGTGTCACAGTAAAATGTGATAGCCAGCACATGGAAAAACAGGAAAATTCATAAAACTGTTTCATTAAAATAATTTGGCATTATCCATTAAAATAGAAGATGTGAAAATCCTATGGCCCGACAAATTTACTTCGATGTGTATATATATCCTCCAGAAACTCTTGTCAGTGTATACCAAAAGGCATATTCAAAAACATTCCATGTAGCATTGTTTGTATAGCTGCAGTAAAAAGTTAATTAATTTTAGTTACACCTTTCAACATAATGTTAAACAAACCAGCTAACTAAAAAACAATTTGCAGAATATTATATACAATTCACTACCACGCATCTGAAGTTTAAAAGCAAGAAAGACTAATCAATATATTCTTTAGGGATAAATTTATGGAATAACTAGAAGAAAATACAGGGGTTACAACTAGAAATAGAGAACAGAGAGGGCTTCAAAAGTAATAATTTTATAGTTTAGGCTTGATGGAGGTACATGGTTGTCTTTTTTTTTTTCTTTCTTCATATGAGTTACATATATGGTATACATTTTTATATAAATGTTTTAGACTAGAAACTTTAAAATAATTAAAAGGTAAGAATAAGAAAACCACAAAAGAGTTTTTAAGCTAAAAAATATATATTAGTTTAAGGTTTAGTAAGAAAATAAAAAAGGATAGCATCAGCCAGACATTTATATCCATAAGGGTGCTCCTAAGGTCATTGGACTCCTCCAAGAAATCATTTCCTTTGTCCTTTTTGCCTTTCTCTTGAGCCCTCAAAATCAGCAGCTCTTTTCAGATACCTGTGGGTTTGAGGCCAGGCCAGACCCCTACCACCATATCTGATTTATTTCCTGATAGAGTTTGAGAGTACATTAAGCATTCTCTTTTAGCATAGGAACCTAGAATTTTAAAATAAGGTTAAAGGCATGATTAAAGCCAGAATTTATTAGATGGAAAGTCATTAAAAGAAAAGTGAATGCTTGCACTGCATTATCAGGAGAGTCTCATACAAGAGCATTAGATACAGAGCAATGAGGTAATTATTTCATGCTGTCACACTGTTTAGTTCTAAATTGGAGCCTAGGGAATTCTAGAGTAGATTCAGCCTTTTTAAAAATATATATATATTTTTTGCATACAGATATAATGTAAACTTTCACAATTTTCATTTTTCCTGAAAACTTATTTTCAATTTTGTTTAATCCCCAATAAATAATTTTGACCATGAAATATTGAATTGCACTAATAATTAAAGGGTGAACATTCCTGGTAAATCACTATGGGAAATTTTAATGAACAAGCCAAGTGAATGAGAAATCAATATTTATTGATTATTTTCTGGTGTATCATTAAGGCCAAAATCTGTCCTCTTACTTAAAAAGCAAAGCACCTAAATTGCCTGTCTAGTTTTGTGCAAGTTTTGAATCTGACTACTTGTAAACTATTAAAACTTTTGTTGCCAAATCAGTGAGACATTCTAAAGGAGGTATTCAGTTGCAAATTGACAGCTCTGCTTCATTCATATTTCTCACTGCATCTTCATAAGTTCGTAGAATCCACCAGACCCTTCAGTCATACTGAGTTATAAAATAGTACTGGGAGATATCTAGGCCAGGCACGGTGGCTCATGCCTGTCTTCCCAGCACTTTGGGAGGCCAAGGCGGGTGGATCACCTGAGGTCAGGAGTTCAAGACCAGCCTGGCCAACATGGGGAAACCCTGTCTCTACTAAAAATACAAAAATTAGCTGGGCCTGGTGGTGGGCACCTGTAATCCCAGCTACTCGGGAGGCTGAGATGGGAGAATCACCTGAACCCGGGAGGCGGAGGTTGCAGTGAACCAAGATAGTGCCCCTACACTCCAGCCTGGGACAGAGCAAGACTCTGACTCAAAAAAAAAAAAAAAAAAGTTGCTTCAAGAGGAAACACAATGTTACTTTGTCAGAATGAGCTTTAACTTAGTAATTTTCTGTTCATTTTAGGAAAAGTGGGCTACTTTGTTTTGGCTTTTGAATTTTACTTGCTTTTAATAGAACAAGATACATTATGATCTTTTATAAGTAAAGATCATTTTAACCCAAATGTGAGTAATTTCTTTTCAAGGAAACTTCAGAAGACTACTGTATTCCAAATTATTTCTTATATTGATATATGGTCTGATTCACCATGATATATACATATTATGGTCTGGTTCACCTGGTTCACCATGAAATTCTAATTATAGATTAAATAATAACCATATAGCTATGCTAAGATAAAATTGACTAGGCTAGGATATCAGGGTAGAGGGATCTAAAAGTATGAAGGAGAAGATGCTACCCAGTGTGGTTTGTATATGAAGTGTTGCCCTGGGCTCCTACATTGTTTTCAAGGTGGGTCACAGTGTTCACGTAAGATATCTAATAGCCAAGAGGGAAACATGACCAGTCACAGAGGTTGAAGCATCTGTAAAGTTAAAACTGAACAGATGAACAGTTATTTAGTACCAGAAAATTCTGCTCTGTGTATGGTTCTGAAAATTGTGCCAACCATATTATTTCAGCAATTAGAGTATCAGGTCCATCAGGTTATGACTGAGTTCCTTTAAGTAGACATGAAATAATTCTGTTTTAATACTATACAGTAATCATGTCTAAGACCTATAAGGAATAAATCCACTTACAAGGAAACTAAAGAAACATTAGAACATAGGTATACCAAAAAACACTGTTGCTTGTGAGTTTTTGATGACACTAAGGGTTTTTTTTTGAACATTGAAAAGGTCATTCAGGTATTAATTTTTGGTTTTAAGTTAATGTTTGATTTACTCAAGTGACATTATCAAAAACCTAATTCTTTAAATCTTTTAATTTGTTGAAAGTCACTGTTGAGGGATTTTTATTATTTATTTACAAACTTTATTACAAACTATTTCCAAGCTTAACTAATGAAACACCTATAAAAATTTAACGATACATTTACAAATTTGATATATTCCATTTTCTATTAAAGTACTATTAAGTACTATTACTAGGAGACTGACAGTCTTTGCAAGTACTTAAAAAATTCTTATACATCTATTATATTACACTTCCAAGGATTGTGAACCTTCAGTTTTCTTACATTTTCTAATGCTTTACATAACAAAATCTTCCCATGATTGAAAGATGCTTTCCTTTTTAGGGAAATAACTATCATCTCAGGTAACTGAGTTTACTTTCTGTAAGAGGCCTACAATCTGAATTCTTCCTGTACTAATCAAGGATGCTATTGTATCACAATATGTAATGGGAGGGTGTCTACTTAGCATGCTTGGGGTTACCTAATATCCATAGATTTTGATTGAGAAACTGATTAGATTCTTGTAGGCAACCCTGAGTGAAAACACAGAATCTTGCTTATTGTTGCCATGTCAAAGACACTACAATATCAATGTCAAGAAAAAGACATTCACATATCCTAGCTCCCATGACCCAGCTTATCCACATGATGTCATAGTTCTACTCATAGATGCCTGCAGTCCCCAACTAGTTTGTCATTTGATTACATTTTTGTATTTCCCTGGCTTTTAGGTTATGCAGATCTCTTTTCCATCAGAATCTAAAGACATCTGACACTGAAAGAACCCTGAGATATTTAAATGCCTTTCCCTGTGGTCTAAATCTAAATTCCATATCCTTTCATAGTCTAGAATCAAGCAACTCTTACAAGTGTTTCAAATGATATTTGATAGCAGTTAGGACATTTCCTATAGTTTTTTCTGACTGGTAGTCACTGCCTTTCCAGGTAGTCTAGCGGTATTACTGAAGAGTTGTTTCTGAGATATGGATAACAGAATTTAAGCCTCTCTGTCCACTGAGAACAGGAGTGTAGGCTGATCATAAACTGAAGAAGGGTATATTAGATATCAGATTGCACCAGAGAAGCACTACACTAACAAATAACCAACTTACATTTTGAAGGCTATACAGATAGTTTTGAGATTGCATGTATTGACAAAAAAACTGAAAAAGGGATTTCTTAATATTCTTTCAATGATTAGCAAATTAAATGTATAGCTCATACAACAAAAGTTCAGACCTAGTTAGAAGATTAGAAAATAGCAATAATCTTCTGCTTGTTCTGGAACTGTTGAAAGATACCCTTCCTCCATAACCGTGTCTAATTCAGTACATCTTCCCCATACAATACTAAAATGAAGTAATAACTGAAAGCTAAGCCATAGACCTTAGGCCAAATTATCTGGCAGTTAGTAAGGTAGCAAGCCAGGCAGACAATCACCACAGATGTAATGAAAGAGCAGCCTTCTCTCATGGGGAAGACTGATAGTCATGCAGATTTTGACAAAGTTCCCTGGGCTTATATCAACATGTGGAGATACTGAGTCCTAGGACACCAGATCTAATTAAATTAAAATAGAATTAAGGTGCCTTTAAGAGAAAATATACTAAATATATGTTTTTCTCTATTTTTATTCATTTTAACTACGCAAGTAATACATAAATGTAAACAATTACATAATACAAAATATAATACCAAATTTTTAAACATTGCAAATAAGATTAAAGTACCCTTTGACCAACATCTCCTAATCTAATACCTTCTTTGTAAGTAAGCACTATATCAGTAGGAAGTATATCTTTCCAGTTTGTTGTTGTTGTTGCTGTTGTTGTTGTTGTTGTTGTTTTGAGACGGAGTCTTGCTCTGTCACCCATGCTGGAGTGCAGTGGCCCGATCTTGGCTCACTGCAACCTGCCTCCTGAGTTCAAGTGATTCACCTGCCTGAGTAGCTGGGATTACAGGTGCACGCCATCACACCTGGCTAATTTTTGTATTTTTAGTAGAGACAGGGTTTCACCATGTTGTTGAACTCCTGACCTCATGATCTGCCCACCTCGGCCTCCCAAAGTGCTGAGATTACAGGCATGGCATGAGCCACTGTACCCGGCCTCTTTCCAGTTTTTCTATGCAACTATATGCATATGTTTACCACTAGAAAATGTATTTTGTGTTAATGTTTTCTAAATATTTTAAATGAGTGTACATGTTATTCTGCAACTTGCTTTACCCACTTAACATCTTGCTAATCTCTTTATAAAGATATTTATTGAGTGCTTATTACATACCACTCTTCTAAGCACTTTTATATCTATTAATGCATATATAATCTTCATAGCAATACAGTTATTATGTTTTGTTATCATGACTGTTTTGCAATTGAGGATCCTGAGGGACAGAGGTTAGATAAATTGCCCAATTTAATGGGACAGCCGCTTGTTCTGAATTCTATTCAAGGAACAACTCCAGGTCTACTCTCATGGTAACTGTTTTACACTGCCTCTCTGAGATACATAAACTTACCTCCTGAAGGCAATTATCTATTAACCCAAACCCCAGTGGGCCCACCTTTTATGAACTTGCAGTGGCTGCAAATGATATGCAGATACTGTTCAAGTTTTAAAATGCCACCAAGTGCCTCATGATGCTCAGCACCTCCATTGGTAATAGCACAGGCGAGGCAGTGTGATGGCATGAAGTATGGCTGTTTCTGAGTGGGTTAGTGCACGTAACTGCGGAGCAGACCCCATTGTTATGCTGCTCCATTCCCCTAGTTCCCTCGCTGCCTGTATCTGATCTGTGGGCAGCATTCCACTTACGTCAAAAATAACGTCAATCTAGTGAAAAAAACTGTATGACTCACAGTATTACTGTAGGGAACTGGTCTCTGTGTAATATGATATATAGCATCCTAATTTCTTAGAGCATTTTTCATAACAGCTGCTAAAATCATCAAATCCATTAAATTCTTTTAAAGGATCCAATTTGTAGCAGTATTGAAAATAGTCTTAAAATGCAGGTATAGAGGTGGAGTCTCTCTCACTCAAAACTGCTCTGTCATTAGCTACTTCATATCTTCTGTGTATTTATCTGTCTGTATTTATTGATTCACCTCAGTCTTCTCCTGTTCTGTATTTCTAGCTGCATTGCGTCAGAGGTAGGCTATTTCAGAGACTGGAGGGTCTGAGAAAAATGGAAGATAAGAAAGCAGAGGAGGAAAAGGAAATTTTCCGCTGACCCTTATGGACAACAGAACAAGGCACACTGGAGAAACGAGGAAAAGAAAGAACTGAGGTCTTGGGCTTATGAAAGCAGTGTAATATTATTGACTAAAATATCTGTAGAGAACGAATGACAGTGAGAGAAATGGCCACTTAAGCCTTTACATCTAGCAGCACATAACTTAGAAACACTGAGCCAGTTGGATTTCCCCTGCCACACTGCCATCCACAAAACTGACAGCTATTTTTCTTTGTAAGAATTTTATTCTTGGATATATGTAAAGCCAAAAAAAATCCCTCAGTGTTGGGGGTTTTTGTTTCCTCTGATGCTATATGCTTCTGCAAGTTTGCAAAGTTAGCCCTTGACATGTGCTTTTGTTGGGAACATAAAGTAAGACCAAAAAGAGGACTCAAAGAAGGCAGAAGAATGTGAAGTTTACTTCCAGACTTGAGATTGACCTTCCAGAAGGAGAATAGGCTTCTGAAGCCTGAGCTCTATTCACTCTCTGTCACAGATTAACTGTGTGGTGCAAGTTAATACACAAATTGACCTTCTTTAAGCCTCAGTTTTCTTATATGAGAAATAAGCTGGGACCAGAATCCCAAGGTTATTTTGAGTTGTAATATTAGGATTTTTGTATTACATGATGGAAAAAGATAGCATGTGATGGTCAGTCACCCTTCTAGTTACCCAGCAGCATAAATCTTATACACATTTTCCTTCCGTGTACACACGTGTCCTCTAATACTGTTAAGGGAGACATATTGCATGTAGTGTCTTTGGTAGGTGCTTCTTGTGGACAGTATTCCTTCCAGCTTCCTTCTGGTGTAAATGCTATTAAGGCGAAAGTTTTCAACTTCATCCTATTTTTCTGGTTCTTTTAAAAAATTATTTTTAGAATGGAATATAAATTACTGATTTGTAATCCATGAATCACTGCAATAAAGTAGCTCTGTGATATTTGCTTTCAGACCTTCAAAAATTGTTAACTGCATACAATGTGTTGTTGGCTACTTAGGTACCGGATATAAGGCACAACTTTTTAGATTCCAGCTAACAGCATCATAAATAGATATAATTTTATGTGTGTGCTCAAGCAGTTTGCACCTAGTCAGCTAATGTTAAAGCAGATACACCAGATTGCCATTTTTGGGTTGTCTGACACAAGCACCAGGCAAATTATTGAATAGTAATAGAGCAAGGAGTCCCAGAGTAAATTTTCTGCACTATTAAAACCTGCTAATAAGTAGTTCTGATTTTCTCTCACTTATATTTGTTCAGCTTCCATTGATGGAGTACCTATTGTAGTCCTGGATATTGGGTTCCATACCAGATCCTCAGGGCCAGCATTCTACTGCAAAAGGAACCATGTTTACAAAAGTGGAGTGAGATTCTTCCTTGGGTCTTTTTGTCACTTAGTAGCCAAAGCTGTTATTAAACCAACCAGACCAAAATAAAAAATCATCCAGGAAGTAATTTATTCTATACTTTTCAACATGTCATCCTTTTTTTTTATCATGTTATCTAACATATAGGGAAGATTAATTATAATATTTTAGATGGAGCCTATTGGAGAAATGAGTTTCCTAGACTAGTCACGTCATATATGATTTTATAACCCAAAACACCAAACTCTAATGGCATTAAAATCTTGCAATGGGAGGTTTATCAACACTAGCTAAATCATAGTGGATAGCCTAGTAGCCTGGAAATCAAGACACTAGAGTAATCATGGTAGCGCATTAATTAGTTATGTAAATGAGGGCATGCTACTCAAGTTCTCTGAGCTTCAGGAGAGAAAAAAAATACTTGATTGGTACCTCATGGGGCTGTTGTAAGGAACAAATGAGATAGAGTATGTGGCATGATTTGTATTATAGAGCATACAATCCAAATATGAGCTAGATAAGGCATAAAACGTGCAAGTACTACATACAGTGTTTCTAATTATATTACAGCTTTCATCTACGTGGTGTTCCACATTTTATATTTAAGCAAGAGCTTATAAGATTGACTCTCTCCCAGTTATCACAACTAATGAACTCTTAATGGGCAGCTACAAATATAGATTTTATCGGAAGGAGGAAATTAAAGTGATCAAGGAATTATTTTTTCTCCCCTGACATGTAAAAAGTAAAGAGACTGCTAATTAGAAAATATTTAGCTGTTCTTTATAAGTACCTGAATGGTCTGAATTTTCTGAGTATTCATTCTTCATTCAGATATAGGAAATGAAAAGTCAAAACCTTCTCTAAATATTGTCATTCAATGGATGTATCTCCTGGGCAAAAATGTAGTTAATTTTGTTTGTTAGAGCCATATACTAAGTGCTAGGTTTCATAGACAAGAGGCACAAACTGAGGTGCTTCCTTGCTTTGGTTTTGTAGTATAGCATATTTAGAGCACATCTAGAATAATGCTGTAAAAAGGAATTGCCTGAGCTAATAATATTATAAGAAATTGTTTATTCTGTTAATACAAGTACATAATTTTCTGCAACTCAGTTATTTGCACTCAATTATTAACTCCTTGAACATGACTTCAGCTAATGACTGCCACTCTGAAGAGATAAAATAGGATTAATGATCAAACTCCTTTATTTCTAAGGAGTGATTACATATGCAAATGAAAGGAGTAGTAGCATTTCAAATAAGTTCCACCAGAGAGTACTTTTCCTTAACCAATATCCAGGTATGTTAATGGGTACCTTTCCTTTAGAATGTTAACTTCGGGGTCCTAACTTAAAATCTAGGTAGCAAAATTAAAGGTGGTAAGAGCCAGGCTAAAGAGGACTAATTGAATTCTCTCTGTGGCCTTTGCTGTTAATAGTTCATTTTCTTTGTGTCCCACTTTACTCTCTTTTTCTTTTAGCCTTTTTATTTAAAGACTTAAGTATTTACCCTTCGAAAATCAGTGTCGTTTCTGGTGGGGAGAGAAGGTATTCACAGAGATGAGTCAGAGGCACATACAAATAACTTGTAATACAAAGTTAGATGTTAATGAAAGAAAAGGAAATGTTTATCCTACCTCATCCACAATACTAGTAAACTAAGTACTTACGATTTTTTAACTGTTTGTTTCTTCATTTGTGTAGCCAGACCTTGTTTCTTTTCCCCAGCTATCGTCAATTTGCTGATTAGGTAAATTCCTCACTGGTCTTTCTACAGGTTTCAAAAAGGAACAAGGTAGATTTTCAGAAACTGTTTTGGGTTGAAAATTATATATTAAAATGAAAATGATATAGTACCTGAAGACTGCTAGTAAATTTTGCTACAGTAAATTTATGATAGTTACCTTCTGTTGCCTGTAGTTGAACTGGAAACCTGACTTTGTAGGTTTTTTGTCCTTGGTTTCTAAGATCTGTCAACTTTTGATATACCCTCCTCTATATCTTTGGTCATCTAACTTCCCAACATGCATACACATAAATAGTAAATACAAATTAGTGATTTTTATAATTATATTGCAGGAAGGTTGTATGCTTTTCGGATGTTGGATTTTTATAGCGCCTTCATCATCTTTAGTGTTGGTTTCTTCCTTTGACTTTGTATATTTCTCCTAAGCCCCACTGATTTCTTGGTTATTTCTTGGTTACAGGCTGTCATGGTGGTCACCTGATCCTTACCTGATGTTACTGGTTACCTTGAGATTTTATCAGTGTCTGTGGTCTCTTCATCAGTTCTCTCCAAAGGTTTCTCTCACTGATTATCTTTCAATATTCTTAGACTTGAATGAAGCAGTCCCAGAGACAGAGCGCCTGGATTCAAAAGCACTGAAAACTCGAGCCCAGCTCTCTGTGAAGAACAGACGCCAGAGACCCTCTAGGACAAGACTGTATGATAGTGTTAGTTCCACAGATGGGGAGGACAGTCTAGAGAGAAAGGTGAGCACCCTTGACCGTTTCCTGATTTGTACTGTTGGAGTATATCATTGTTCCTACAGCTTATTGAAGATTATGATTTTTCTGCAAACAGAGTCTATGTCCTAGTTGGTAAGCAGCTAGAATAGTTCACGTCTTTGTCTCCTGAATTCTTTATATTGTTGTAATTCAAAATATTTTGTCTATTCATTCAGTGAACTAACCAAGAGCATTATCTGTATTGTCATATTTCATGATGGTGCTTTTGATATTCAGCTATTGGTTTTACTTAGTGGGAAATAATGAACGTACAAGTAATTGTTTCTGTAGGTCTTAGGTATATGTATTAGTGACGATGTTAATATGGTGAATTGGTATGAACCATGCATTCTCATCTGTAAATCAACAAAAACTGGTTTTCATGGGGATTCACTAATAAAAGGTTGGTCTTATTTCAAAGTAAGTATTGCATAGAACTGATACTCAGTGGCATAACCTTCCTTATAATCTCTTATACCAACAGCCATCAAACAGTTTCTATAACCACATGCATATTACCAAATTACTTCCACCTAAGGGTTTGAGAACGTCTTCTCCAGAATCAGATTCTGGTGTTCCACCCCTCACCCCGGTGGATAGCAATGTGCCCTTCTCGTCTGACCACATAGCTGAATTTCAAGAAGAACCACTGGACCCAGAAATGGGGCCTCTCTCCTCTATGTGGGGAGACACTTCACTGTTTTCTACTTCAAAGTCTGATCATGATGTGGAAGAATCTCCTTGCCATCACCAAACCACCAACAAGAAAATATTACGAGAAAAAGGTATTGTTAATTTCTTTTTCTGACTTCATAACACCTCAGCTTGTACAGTATAAAAATGACTTTTTCTCATAATCATAAGTCATTTGTTTTCTCATAGCTAATAATTAATATTAATTTCTTTTTATATTATAGAATAAGAGAAACAACCCCTCCATGTATTTTACTTTAATTTAGTTTTATCTTTTCCTATCTGGTTCAGTATTTTTATCTCTTCAGCTCTCTATAAGTTTACTACTCAAGGGAGTTCTTCAGGGGAGTGGGGCAGCCCAGAGTTTCAACAAACACTAACACAGTCATAAAGAAAAAAACACTACATAGTCATATAGAAAAATATAGAGCGATTTTGTAGAATAGCAGCCCAGAGTTTCAGTAAACACTAACGTAGTCATATAGGAAAAAAAGACGAAGATCAAAGTAACACAGGCATATAATTGATACTTAATAATGTTCTTGGATGAATTGCTAATATACCTCTCCACGTAACCAGTGCAGATCTTCTAGAAGAGGGATAATCAACCGAATGTAGTCTCCACCTGCTTTTGTAAATGAAGTCTTATGGGAGTACAGTCACACTTTTTTACTTACATACTATCTATTTTCATGCTACAGTAGCAGTGTTGAGTCGTTGTGACAGAGACTGTGTATCTCACAAACCTAAAATATTTTACTCTGTGGCCCCTGAAAGGTAAAGAAAGCTTCCTGATGCCTGGTCTAGAAGTATATTTTCTTATACTCAAAATTGCTGGATAAACTCTGAAAATGGCTTCATCATTGGTTGCCATTTATCTAGAATTTTTAAAAAGTGTTATACCTTTACTTTTGGTCTATCAAGTTACCACAAAGATGATTAATTACAGCCATGTTTGATTGCAGGCTTGAGGATAAGGCTCTGGTTACCCTAACAGGAGTTGGCGATTTTCTGAATTGTGTCAATACCACATTTACAAATCATTTTTTTTCATATCTGAGGGACATCAGTGGAAATTAGGATGGAGAAGTCCCATTATAACTGGCTAAATGATAAGCATCTAACGGAATATCAAATTAGAGGAAGTAAAAGATTTTTTTCTAGAGATTTGTAAAACAGGTTATATGCCAGTAGAAGGCATGAAAATATTTTCCTCGTTCCTGTTATATAAACAACCTAATACTAAAGTTTTGGTCCCGAGGCTTACATAGCACTGGGCCTTTGTTCAGTCAAGATTAAATAAAGTAAATTGAACACTATCAATTTTCTACTCACAATTACTAGAGATTATTATTCTAATTTTTTGTGTGGTTAATAACACATTATTTGACCCAGAAGATGTGTTCAAAAATATTCATTGAATTAATGTCTAGTAAATAGAAACTGGCTTTTTTAAAGCTTTACAGGATTTATTGCTTATTAAAAGCATTGGGCCTCTGCAAGTATAGATAGAGTACAATTATATCAACGCTCAGAAGAGAGAGAGATTGCGTCCAGCTGAGGTTGGTAAACAAAACCTATCCAAGGAAGTACAATTAGAATAGCCATCAAAGCACTTAAGGGAAAAAAAGGGTAGGTAAGGAGGGAATAGCGGGTAAAGTGATGTCATTAACAGAGACAGGCACATATCATATGATTTAAAGGTACAAGGCTATCCCAGCCTGGCTGTAGCAGTTTGCTTATGCAGGGTGGAGTAGTTACACACAAAAGTGAGCCAGTAGGTTAAGTATATAGCTTTAGAAGTTAAACATCTTAGATAACTTGCCATATTACTAGGAAACCACAAGAAGTTTGACCAGAGGAATAAAAAGGAAAAGACACCACCAGGTATGGAGAAGCTGAGTTAGGAGACCCTATGAGGTGGTGCCCTCTAAAGAGGAGCAGTAGACAGTGACAGGAAAGAATGATTCAAGGACCCTTGAGACATACCTTGACTAGGTAACAGGTAAGAAAGTGAGGCAAAACTATCATGGGCTTCACGCCTCAGAACATATGGTCTTGTCATTAACAGAAAATAGGAAATCAGCAACATGATGGGGGAAATAGGATTAACTCATTTTTTTAACAGAGGAGGTCATGAGCGCAAGAGAGAGGTCAGGACTGCCAGGTAGATTTGGGAGTCCCCATTATAAAGGAAGAGATAGTCAAGTATCTTATTACAGTGAGATTAAGGAGATGCAGTCCAGTACAAGACCTTAGGATTTGGCCATCAGGAGATCATTTATTATTTGAAAATGAAAACCAGGTTGCCACAGCTTAAAGTTGAGGCACCCAATCTGGGGGCTCAGATGTATAATTGGTCACAAAGGTAGTATTGGAGAGATTTTAAAAAGCCTAACAGAAGTCTTACGTAGAGCTAAATAAACAAAATGTATGTTTCTTTTTTCCTGAAATCATACCAATCTAATGTTGGATTTTATGCAGACTAGAAGTTCTAGTGTGCATTAAAGATGGATTTAATCGATTTTAAATGGGAAAGTACATTATTCCTTATTCTTAACATCTTCAGCCCTATGGAAGCATTCATTTCAGTGTTCCTGGGAACGCACTTTGGCAAATGTGTGAGATAAAGATGTAAGGTTGCCTAGCACCAAGCTCTGTGATAGGCAGAATCAGGCTTTTAGTCGCATGATGTCCAAATAACTGCAACACTCATGGGTTACAGAGTGTTTTCGTGTACATTGCCTCAGCTGGTCTTCTCAGCGCTCATTGTAACATCTCCCAGCTACCTCTCATTCAGGAAATAATTAGGCAGTCTCCTTTTAACTTTGCATAGTCCTAGCCATTAAGAGTTGCTTTAGGATTGATCTGGAAGAATTTGGCACTTTCTTTTCTTCAGCTTCTATTAAGAAAATTTAAATCTTGCTTTTAAAAATAAAATCCATTAGTAAAATCACCTTAGAAGGTGTTTGTGCCATGTCTATGTCTATGGATTTTTTTATATGATTGTGTCACATCTGTGACAATTCAGTTACCCAAAGAGTAATGATGCAAATATGCATAATAAATATTTGAGGCTTGAAGTGGATTTTTGACACAGACATATTTCTGACTCTTGTGTTTCATTATGTACATTTCAGTGAGTTGCTTATTGTAATCTAAGTATCATTAACTAAAAATATGAAAAGCTCATTGCTAAAAACATTTGGAGTATTTGTCAGTGTCCTGTGCTGCTTGAGAGCTTTGAACCTAGACTGCTATCCATGAACTGTGTGTGTACTTCATGTTTTTTAAAGGTGTATGTCGATGTGTGTTGAGAAATTTCTCTTGAAGTAAACAAAAATCATGAGCAACATTAACCTGCAAAGTTAATTGAACACTTTTTTAAGAGGGCCATTCTCTTTGCCTTCCATACTAGAAAGTTCCTAGAAATTTAAAACACATTTTAAAAGATAAGAGACAGAAAAACAGATACCAAAAAAGAACTGGGGAGGAAGAGTTTCACACATAAAAAACATCAAATTTAAAACAGCATTTGTTAATCATCTGAGCTAATTGGATATGCTGAAACGTGATGCCGATCAGTACCCTCTGCTGAATAGTTTGGGTAGAGCCTGTCCGAGATGGAACAAGTGCCACCAGTGGAATTGGTTCCCACCTTGACATTGAACTCCATTTGCAAAGCCTGTCTTCCTATTGGCTTTTGGTATCATTTCGAGGGTCCCCATTCCCCAGCAGCTGCTACCTTTGAGAGTCCTAGAGGCAAAGATCAGTCTGCTCTGAACACTGAGGAGATTTTGGCATCTTCCACATTAAGGGGAACCAGCCAAGTTTTGCTGTAACCTAACTATTAAGAAGGCCCTTTCAAAGATATAAATGTTTTGTAGCTGAGCCCCTGTTTAAGGAGTCTCCCCCATGTCCTCCCCTCCTCTGTTCCAGGACCGGCCACAGGCCATTAGCAAAGGAGAGCCAGAGAAGAAAACTTTGACTCTGACTTTCCCCCTAAATCTCCCAGACTCTCAGAGGTGATATTCTGCGCTGGGCTTTGGAGATACGGGAGAAGTGGGCTATGTTCCTGTTAGAAGGCACTACAACCCCAAGGCAAGAAAGGAATGGAGGACAGAGCCCAGGCACTTGAAGCCAAGAATTTGGAGCCAGAGAAGGAACAAAAGTCATGTTGGTCCCTACTTCGAATGCAGAGGATGATTTGAGAGTATTTATTCTCCCTTGTTCATTCCCATGCAGTTGAAGCTAAAACTCTTTGTGATGAATGTTGAGCCTCTGTCCTATAGAGGACCTCCCCTGCTTAACTGCGAGTTCCTCAATGTAACTGTGTCTCCTAGGTCGTATAAGAAGGCATTGATTATTTATTTTACAATTAGGAATTTAGGCAAAGCCCTTAGATTCAGAGATGCATTGACTTTTGAATTGTGACTTTAAAAATAATAATAATTGATCTTTTTCACAAATGTGTATATCCTAGATGATGCCAAAGATCCCAAATCACTAAGGGCATCCAGTTCATTGGCGGTGCAAGGAGGAAAAATTAAGCGGAAGTTTGTGGATCTGGGGTAAGCACTTCACGATGTAAAAAGAAAGCCCTCTGTAAAAGGAGGATTGAAAGAGAAAATTTCAGCTTCCCCTTTCTGACTGCTTACTATCATTACAGGGCGCCTTTGCGAAGGAATTCCAGCAAGGGAAAGAAGTGGAAAGAAAAAGAAAAAGAAGCCAGTAGGTTTTCTGCAGGTAGCAGGTACGGTTGTGTGATTAAGAACACGTGTATTTCTATACCTAAACTTTCTGGCCCCCTCTTCTATTGTTAACCAAAATCAGTGGTCAGTATCTTTGAGCTAAAGTGATATGCCAAGAATTGAGATGGAAGAAAAATTGCACAATTAGTTTATATTGGTCTTACTCCAATTATAGCCTCCATCTAGCCTTGGGCATATCCATTGGTTCTTAATTGCAGAATTATGGCCACATGAACCATTTCAATAAGTGTTTATCTAAATTCAGCACAAATATATCTATGTGATACTTCAGAAATATCAAATATATTTATGTGATACTTCAGATTTTTTGCCTGGCTACCCACAATGCTAGTGCATTGTATTAAGTCTAAAAGGATAATCATTTTGCATTTAAGTACCTTGTTGACATTCAAGATTGTCTTGTCCACATGTATGTAGGAGTGACCACCATCTTTTGCTGCACTTGGCTATTTAATTGATTTTGTGGGCACTGTCAACTATGCTTAGTCTTCAGTAAAGACCTTCCCATAAAGAGCGAGCTTTGAACAGCATGTTATCAAATTTTCCCAGTTGTTTTCTGAGATTATATAATTTTAAGCTGAGATTTGTATAGGGAGTCAGTAAAGCATCAAGCTCTGAAGCCCAGCTGCCTGGATTTGAATCATGGCTCTCCTACTTATAACTTTTAAATCTTGGGCAAGTGAGTTACCCTCTGTGCCTTCATTTCCTCATGTAAAATGAGAGTAATAACAGTACCTTTTACATAAGGTCAGTGTAAGGATTCAATGAGTTTTCATGTAAAACATTTAAAATGATACTTGGCATGTAGGAGGTATTCAAAGAATAATAAAGATAACAATTTGCTGCTATTGCCATTACTGTTACCTTATTATTATTTGCAAGTTACAAAGTAGTTTTATATTTATCATTTCATTTGATCCTTATAGGATTGAGAGGATGGCAAGGCTTGGTGGCCCACACCTGTAATCCCAGCACTTTGGGAGGCCAAGGCGGGTGGATCACCTGAGGTCAGGAGTTTGAGACCAGCCCGGCCAACATGGCGAAACCCCGTCTCTACCAAAAATACAAAAATTAGCCAGGCGTGGTGGCGCACACCTGTAATCCCAGCTACTCGGGAGGCTGAGGCAGGAGAATTGCTTGAACCCGGGAGGCGGAGGTTTGAGTGAGCCAAGATCGCACCACTGCACTCCTGGGCGATAGAGCGAGACTCCGTCTCAAAAAAAAAAAAAAAAAAAGATTGGGAGAGTAGATAATAATACCATACTTTATTGATGAAGAACTTTACCTTCATAGAATTTAATTGATTTGCCCAGGGTTATGCAGCAGGCAGTTAATGTCAACCTGGGGCTTGCTCCTCCTGTGTAGATGTTTTTCCAACATACTATGCCACCTTCAGTTACTTATGCATCTAATGATGCTTAAATTTCTTTATAAAATTTGGAAATAATCTCAATATCATAGACTAAGGAAGAAACACACTAAAAATAAAATACTATAAAATCATGCAAGGACCACTTCTCCACTTCATGGGTTGTCCACTGCTGTTTACTTTTCTTTTTTCTCTTTTCTGACATATACCTTGGTGAGAAATTGTACCTTCTTCTTGGAATTAAAGGAGCATTAAAGGAGCATAATGGGCGGGAGATGAGGAGAGAGAATTCCCAAATTAATTATCTTTGTTAGTGTGGCTTTCCTTTATACTGTACATTGGAAAAGGGTAGAATGCTCTCAGAATGAGGACAACAATCTCAGGAAAATAAAGGTAAATCTGAGGCTATATGCATCTCGAAAGTAGTTTAACTTTGTGTGGTTCGGGAGTGAGAATGATCCACTTTGTGTGTTAAAATTAAGAATAGAAAAATAAAATCAAACATACTCATGGAAAAAAACAAATAATGAAACCGTTTAGGGGAGAAAGAGATGCATAAATACATGATGGGAGAGAAACTCAGATACTGAAAATGACACTGTCCTTCCTTTGGTCTCTGGGCTTTGAAGACAGTCACTCCCTCTCATCTTTGAGGCACCACCTGAGAGGGATGTGAGCACCTGCAGCCAGAAAGGGGGAGGGTGTTTGATGGAATTTTGCCATAGTAGCCAGAGATGATTCACCTCCTTGTATAAATCACAAATGAAAGTCAAGCCAATCTTGATTGTGTTGGTGAGTGCCTGCCCACCTCACTATAGGCAAAACCACAGCTTGTCAAGGGCAGGTGGCCATCAGCACACTGCTTCACCACAGTCGATGCCTGCTTTGAACCCACAGCTAGACTTCTAGATTGGCTGCCTCGCCACCACTGTATTTTTAAAACTCTGGAGTCCCCCTGATTCAGCAGTCAGAAATTATTGTACACATACCCACACTACAAACTAGTTTCTAATTAGAATCATGATTTTGATCTTTTGTAGTTCCTAAGTGTGATGATTGGGTGTTCACAGGCATGTGTGAGATGGCCTCCCTCAAACCTTGTTATGACATTGGCATACCCAAAAAAAATAAAATCATAGTTTTATAATTATTAGTAATTATAGTAGAATTTTGGCAGGATGGAAAGGAATTCATATAATTGGAATAGAAGAACAAGGAAAGAAGAAGGACACTTTTCTCTTGCAAGAAAAAAAATTTTGAGCTGCTATAGTAATTGGTTAACACTAATAAAATCTGTGGACAGCTATATTCTTCTGTATAGATTGATAATGGGTACAGAACCTTATAAAACCTATCCCAGGAAGAACAGAATTGCTGCCCAGTAGGAGCTTAATGCAATTGAGTTGGATTCTCAGGGTCCTGAAAGTCTGTGGGCTGTAAGCACCATCAGCTGCAGGGTCGCACTATGATTGTAGTGGGCAACTGGGAATACACTCACCAACCCTGGGAGACTTCCTCAGAAAAAGGAGGGAAGGATCCTTGGACTGAGTAATGTTATCTTTTTGAAGCATTTCATCCAATTCTTATTAGGCTAAGATTCTGATAAGATCATTGGTCAGCTATAACCTATGGCTGTTAGATTTTAAAGAGGCAAGACTTTCACTATTTGGTCTTGGTTTTAGTTTTTTCCTCTCTATAAAGAGTTTACCTTGTTGTGTTTCTGTGGATACATAATGACTCAGATACATGCGCGACATGAGACAACTAGAGAAAATGGATGAGGCTAATAATAATAAACAAATAAACCCAACAAAGAAATATGACTTGGTTCCATCCCTTTTCAAATATGTGCTCAGTGGCATTGTCTTTTTGTTTGTTTGTTTGTTTGTTTGAGACAGTGTCTCACTCTGTTGCCCAGGCTGGAGGACTATGGCACAATCACAGCTCATTGCAGCCTTGACCTCCTGGGCTCAAGTGATCCTCTCAGCTCAGCCTTCTGAGTACCTGGGACTACAGGTGTGTGCCACCATGTCCAGCTTAAAAAAAAAATTGTAGAGGTGGGGTCTTGCTATGTTGCCCAGGCTGTTGTTGAACTCCTGGGCTCAAGCAGTTCTCCCACCTCAGCTTCCCAAAGTGCTGGGATTATAGGCACAAGCCACTACACCCAGCCAACATTCTGATTTTAAACAGGCAGCATAGCAGATAACAAAAGCAGGAAACATTTAGTTGTCAGAGCTTGTTCACCCCTTAAAATGTATACCAAAGGGTAAAATAAAATCCTATTCTGTATTCTGGAGTAAGTAGCCACTGATGTCAGTGGAGCATCTACTTTGGAGCTCTGTAGATAAGTTTCCAGTGTAGTCACGGAATGGAAAACTCTGTGAGATGTGTGTATCTCAGATGGGGAGATGTGTGTATCTCAGATGGGGCTAGGTGATAGTATGTTGAGAAAATGATAAGGAAAGGAGATGGCAGTCTTCTATGGAAATGAATTTGCATTCAAGTAGAAAGTGTGAACAACAGAAACAACACTGAGCTGGAATCCAAGGTAGTAGTCCTTACTTTTCCATTAGGCAAGTCTCTGAATTCCTGGGACCTTGGTTTCCTACCAAAAAATAAGTGGATTGGGCTGACACTGCATGGCTCTGACTTCCCATTCACCTCTGCGTACACTGTCCAGTATGGTTGCCTCTAGTCAGATAAGGCTAGTCTATATTGGGATATGTGTAGGAGAATAATGAATGCTGGACTCAAAGACTTAGTATGAACAAAAAGAACATAAAATATCTTCATAATATTATAATATTGATTACATGTCAAAATAATATTTTGGGTTTGGAGGGTAAATAAAATGTATTATTGTTAAAATTATTTTACCTCTTTTTTTCCCATGGTGCTACTAGAAAATTTTAGTTTACAATGTGGTTCATTTATATTTCTTTTTGGATAGTGTTGATCTGTAGGATTCCATGAAAAACAAATCTTCCTTTAATTTCTACCCCATTATTCAGTTGGTCTATTCATTTATTGTTTATTTTCTTATTTATATTCTACTCCTCGTTATTCCAAAATAATTTGTTTACATACAAAAGTACATATGCTACAACAATATAATTTATTAAAAAGTAAATTGAATAGGGAAAAGTTAGATTAAAAAGTAAGTAAAATTGTTACTTAAAATACAACATCTTCAATAACATCTTCATAGTAAGTATAAGAGTGACCTTCCAGTGAAAGCCAAAAACACAATGTCAATATGGTTAAAAGCCTGGGTTGAAATCCCAACTCTGCCACTTACTTCTTGGACAGGTTTCTTAACCTTTCTGTACCTCAGTTTTCTCATCTGTAAAATGGAGACATAGACACACACACACACACCCGCCCCTCACATACTTCTTCATGTTATTAGGAGGATTAAGATGGTCACATTGAAGTACATTTCAAATCCTTAAATAAAAATGTCTATTGTTATCATTGTTTATTAAAGCAGGTTTGATGGGAAGGATACAAAATGACATTCTTCTTGCGTATTTTGCTGGCAGTCTTGTTCATCCAAGGATGACTTTTGTTATATCTTGAAGAATGAATGGGCTATATGGATTATACTTCAGGCTGTACTTCATAGGCTATTTCTCTCAAAGAGGCTTTAGATAAATCATGGCATGACAGTGAGTTTGAAATTATATCCTATGACAAGTACCTGGAGGGTCCACTCTGCCCCTGTTGCTGAGTAAGAGCAAAACCCCTGCTTAAGAATCATCTGAGCTGGCTGGAAACACACCTTTTAGAAGAATTGATGGAGATGAGCACATGTGTGTGAGTAGAAAAACACCCCATCTCTGCCTAAGCCTGGCCCAGTGAATGTAGTCATTTTCATGGAGACCTTTGAATAATGTCAGCTTAGCCCTAGTAGATCGGACTTATTCCCCATAACTGTCTAGCCCATTTTTAGCTGCATTTATCAATTTAATATTCAGTTTTCTTTTTAAGTACAGTATTTCAAATGCCTGAAGCCTGACAAACTTACATTCTTAACAGGCAAACACTTTTCCATACTTAAAAAAGCTCTTGAAAATCTAATAAGTTACTGTTTAACTGTAGTGACTCTAAACGTCCCAATATAGTTATCAAAGTGCTTAATATATTGTGTGTTTGTTAAAAACTCAAATTTAAAATGAGTTTAGATCATTAAAATGAGTTTAACATTTTAAGGTAGAATCAGTGGACACATTTCTCTTTCAGATTTCTATTCATACAAATTTTCTTAAACACCTAAGCAATATATCTGTTATTCTTAAACTTAGCATTTAGATTTTGATAGTATGGATTTTATTTACGTGATCCTCTTCTATTTCATTTTAAACCCCTCCAGTATGGGGAAGACTCATTAAGGGAATAGTTTCACCATCTCGAATGATTCAGAGTTGAACACTACAGTGACCATCTCAGATGAACTATTATTGATTAGATCAGAACTCAGGATCTGGGAGCAGGATATGTCTGAGTAGGGGGCGGGGGTTGGCCCTGAGCTTTAGATGGACATGTTTCTCACAGCTGTTATCCATTAGGGTCTCTAGATCCCATTTAGATGAGGCTAGCTTTACAACCTCAAACTCCTTGGTGGATGTTAGAACCTTATAGAATTACTTCATTCGATTTAGGTAAATACAAGTCTGCAATCTTCCTCTGGTTGCAACTAATTTTCTTCAATTAACTTCTTTTACTCCTGGGCTTAAATTCTGTATTTCTTTTATACTTCATCTGTTCTGGCAGTTTCTGAACTCTTAATGATATTTTGATGACATCCAGTTAGATGCTGAATACTTCACACACCTGTATTCAAAGTTAGAATGACAACAACAAAGATCACCTTGGAATGTTTAGCTGGCAATTTAATTTTGGGATGCCAGCCCCAGGATACACTGGATTCAAGATATATGTAAATGAGTTCATTACTTATAAGAGATATTACATAAACCATTTAAATGCCAGGAAACAGCTACCTCTGAAATGGTATCTTTGGATTATGAGGACGAATTTGAAGCCATTCTTTCTCCCAGTTCCTAGGAGTGACTTATGATTCTCTTTTTTCCAAAAATGATAGCAAGCCAGTAAATTATAGCTAAAAAAGAAGGTGAAGGGAATATAGACTATCTACCTATTTTGATCCACTGGAAAAATTATTTTCAGATTCATCAAGAGTTCATTTCTACCAATCTCGATTTTGGGGAGAAAGGAAGGTGAAAAGGAAAGAAAAGGAAGGAACGAGGAGGAGAAGAAGAAAGGGAGGGAGGAAGCAAATAAGAAAGGAAAGAAGGATTTTATGTTATTCCTAATGGATTTCTCCACAAAGTGAAATAGACTATAAGAGTGGTCAACATGGAATAACTGCTGCCAAACCCTTTCTGCTTCTATTGTGGGCCCAAGAGTTCAATTTATTCAGAAGGAAATTGACATTTATTTTAGAAAGCATGTCTGCTAAGCTGATAGGTCTGTAATTTTAAAGCAAAAATTTCGTTTTTTAAATGAATGTTCTCTAGGTCCGAGAAATGAAAGCATACCACTCACTGTTCAGTTCTTTAAGGATACTAGCAAGTACCCAGGGGTTACATCAGTTCATGGGGTTTTAAAATCACAGATACTCACAGAGGAATGAGAGATACAGGATACAACTTCAGCAGGGGCACAGCCAAGCCTCATGGGAAACTGAAAAATATTCTTCAAAATATCCCTGAATCTGGTGATTTGCCACTGTAGAGACGTAGGTGTCTTCTCGGAAGTGGCCTCTCATTGCCTTCTGCCTGGCTCTTCCTCCTTCCTGTCTATTACTTGGTGTGCAAAGCTAGGGAAAGGAAGCCTCTGGGTATCACCAGAGGCCCAGCTTCTGTGATCTCCTTCACCGCACATGTAAGAACCACATGGCCTCAAGACCCTCCTCAGTGCTGGATGCACAGGTCCATGTGGAATTATTAGTCTTGAATATTTTTCTGACAGTGAAAATGTTGTGAGAGAGTTTAATTAGATGTGACCTTCAGATTTTTTTCTTTTCAAATGTTGCTTGGACAGGATTTGGACTACCAAAAGTCCTTTTCAACTAAAGCAATGGAATGACCACAAGTAGAAAACAATTCTTATTTTGTCCCTATTTGCTTTTAAAGGTAATAGTGATTGTTCTAAAAGCATTGTTACAAAGGCTGTTCACTGGGAGTAGGACAAGATTGTCATGCTGTCATTAATCATGGCCTATTTATAAACTTTAAAACAATATCCATATATTTAAGCACTACTATATTTTATTGAAAATTGTGGATGAACTCATTTAAAAATTCCCTTGATTCAGAAATCTATAACCAGAGGAGATAATGATCATCCGGTCCAGTTTTTCCTCAGAGATACCCAATTATAAGAGTATGGGACTGCAGAGAAAATATTTATATGTTTCTACACAGCTAGAGCTTTCTAGGCATTTTTACTAGAATGTGGAACCTAAGCTAAAAAACAAGCCTCAGAAAATAAATTATGAGGCTGAGTGTTGTGATTCACACCTGTAATCGCAGCACTTTGGGAGGCCAAGGCAGGAGGTCAATAGCATAATAAACCCCTATCTCTACAAAAAATAAAAAAGTTAGCCAGGCACGGTGGCACACGCCTATAAGTCCTAGCTACTCTGGAAGCTGAGGTGTGAAGATTGCTTGAGCCCAGGAGGTCCAGGCTGCAGGGAGCCATGACTGTGCCACTGCACTCTAGCCTGGGTTACAGAGCGAGACCCTGTCTCAAAAAAAAGAAAACAGAAGTTGAATTGTGGGTGCATAGATAGTGAGAACTCCAGAGAGATTGACCTCTGCAGAGGTAATGTGGTTACATTTTAAGGAGGCTAAGTGGAAGAGGGGGATGAGACCATCTCCATGGAGACATTCCTAGAGTTGTAAAGCTGGAGCCACTAGTCATATCTTTCCCTAGAGACACATGTTTACATCCCAAAGGGTCAGAGCCCAAGATCCTTCCCAAGTTGAATTTACATTAAGGAGATAAGATTTCTCCCTCCACCCTCCCCAGAGGCTGCAGAGGGGACAGCTTTCCCTCTCCTATATAATCAACCAGATTCATGTTTTTGGAGTTCCTCACCTAGAGTGTAGACCATGTGTAGGATGACATCTGGTTCCCCCAGCATGCTGATCTCAATATTTTATCAGAACCTCACTGACTTCTTCATTCTCTTCAGTTATCAGCCTTATAATCCCTTTACATTTGTATCTTGCTTTACAGTTTACAAGATGCTTTTACATTTATGTCCCAGTCGATCCTCACAATAATATTTGCAAATAAATGGGAATTGTTAGGTGTTATACTATTTATATAAACTGGAAATATATTTCAAAATATATTTGAAATGAGATGTAAGAAGACTGAAATTCAGTATACATGTGGTGGGACAGAAGTTGTCTGGCTGTGGTGTCCAGGCACTTTTAATTGAAAGGGAATCTCTGTGTTATCGTGGTATCAGCAGCTATCAAATAATAGGCATTCCATCAAACGGCAAGGGTGACCTCTTCCAAGATGCACATAAACTGCTGCCTGTTCCTACTTTGGTTTCTGATAGTTATTTTTTCTCTTAACCAAAAGATAATTACAGATATGAAAGAACCTACATTAAGACAAAAAAATCTGTTTTCAAACTGCGTTCTTCAAATGCCTTTGAATCCTTTAAATGTTAAACAATAAACATAGACCATTGACAATTTGTAAGCACTTTCACATATCTCATTTAATTCTTAACAAACACATATGAGATACATAAAAATATCCACTTTTTACAGATGGAGAACTAAAAGCCGAGAGAAGGCCTGAGACCATGTACTTAGGAGGTGGTAAACCCTGGCCCTCCAAGTGGGAGATGAGGACTTCAGATCTCCTACGCCTCCTGTGAAAAGGCACTAAGATTCTGGTGAAAAACCAATAAACTACGTGTTCCACCTAAAGTATTTTGAACCCTGAAATTTCAAAATTATTTAAATATATCATTTTCTTAAGTCTCAGACCCTTCGGAACACAAGTCCAGAGGAAGACAGGAAAGAATGCTGCTTATGAGCTAATGTCCCTAGCTGTGAGGCATGTCACCCAGATAAAGGGAATGCAGTGATGATTAACCTAATAGCAGTTCCTAAAAGACTGTGCCCCTCCCTGATTATAATTCATCTACGTACACTTATTAGGCACATTTTATAAAAATTCACCATGGCAATAGCAATACGAAAATGTTGATCATTGTCACAGAATCCATTTAGAGGCAAAAAGATAACTATTAAGATTAGTGTTGTAGTCAAAAGTGCAAACTTTTTACTCTGTTGAATAGAACAGTTTCTCAAATTGTTACTTCAAACTATATTCAGAGTCCTTGGGTTCAGTAGGTCTTTTATCCGCCCTTTCTTTATCTAACACACCCATTCTTTTCACAAAACAGGATCTTCAGAGGCAGACTGGAAAACTGGACACCCAAGCCATGTTCAACAGCTCAGACCTCCACTCGTTCCCCTTGCATGCCTTTCTCATGGTTTAATGACAGCCGGAAAGGATCCTATTCCTTCAGGAACCTGCCTGCGCCTACAAGTTCCCTTCAGCCTTCTCCTGAGACTCTAATTTCAGATAAAAAGGGGTCCAAGGTAGAAAACACATGGATTACAAAAGCAAACAAGAGAAACCCAAATCCCTCCTCTTCTTCAATCTTTGGAAGGCATTCTCAACTTATGTCTGTAGTCTGGATCCAAGAAACCAATGTAATAACACTGCAATAAACAATGCATGGTATTTCTTATGTGGGGAAAAGAAAGCCTCATTTAACTACCACCTTCTTTAATGCTGTTTCATTGTAGATTGTACATTACTCTTTGATTTGCCTATCTTTTCACATATTGCTATTTAATCTCAGTTTGACAGTTAAGCCATGCTGGGAAAGATGCATTTGAATCATAGAACAGAATGATAGATCTGTTTACCCAGTATTCTACTTTAAATTACATTACTAAACTATTTCACTGTGCTTCTCAAGATTTACTGAAAAGCAAATAAATTTGGGACTGAATACGAGTTCAGTACATCTAAGTGAAACTCTTTAAAACAAACCAATGATGACATAGCATCCTTATTTATTTCTTCTTTTAATGTCAAACTTCTGTGTTGAACAACTGCTGTATAATTCTATCACCAAAGTTCTTCAACAGAATTAGGAAATATATGCATGGGTGTTACTTGTTTTTAAATGCATGATGGTTATTTCCAGCATGACACTGCAAACCTTATCTAACATTTTATTGAAACACATATGGTGGCTAACTTTCACACGTTGTTTGGTCTCCTTTTATCTGTGTTCGCTTTTCTTTCTCAAACAGAAACGTGATTAATGTTACTTGAATTTAATTCTTTTCAGTTTCAATTTAAATCTTTTCAACAGCTCAAAGGGTTTTGACTGGGGTACCAAATGGTAATGTTCATGTTAAATGTCCTGCTGCTTAAATGTTCTGCTGGCCTAGCTCCATGTGCTCTAACCTAGACTTCTTTTCTGAAGTTTTAGCAAACTTTGGAGTTTGTTCGGTACTGAATTCTCCAGCCTCTGGCATGGTATTTATTTTTGATAACCAACTAAACCCAGTATAAGGGAACCTAGTGGAAATCTAACAGTCCAATTCCTAAGGAAATGCAATAGAAACAAGATGGTGTTGGTCAAGTGCTTAGAGTTCCTGGAAATCCATCCATTTTAGAATTACTAGCAAAAGAAGTTTTGATAGCAGCACATCACTTTGGTCTTGAAACATTTTCAGTATTGGATCTGAGGCATCTAAATGCAATTCGAAGAATTCTGCCATTATCTTGCACTGTAGAGACTCCAGATTTGGTTAAAAATGTTTTTACAAGTGCAGCTACGTAGTCATTGTTGTTTGATTTTCATATCCACTGAATATTTTAATGAAGTTCTGGGGAAGTTTTATTTACACGCTCCCACCTCCCCCACCCCCAGGTGATTATTTGGAAACCTGTGTCTGTGCTGTGTGGCAGCCTCTCTGATGCTCTGCGGGTGCAGTGAGAGAGTTGTATTTCAGCATGTAACTACTAGTGTATTGTCAGGCTGTGACCTCCCCCAGAACTCATCATCTTGAAGGGTACATCCAGGAGAGGATCTGCCATTTCTCATAGTATTTATCACAGCCAACAATAAGCGATCCTTCCCAGGAGGTGCTCTAGCTACCTTTCTAATATGAATTGCCATCTGTTCCTAATAACTCAGCCTCTCCACACCATCTTGTATTTTTACTTACACTGTTACTCATCACGATTAGGGTCAAAGAAGATAGGCTTATTAATATTATTCCTCTGAGCAGTTGCAGAGGATAATGAATTCTGTACCCTTGAAGAGCAATTGAAGAATTGTCTCTCTAAAACATCTATCCTTTCATCACATGGAGAAAGCACCCAGAATTCCCTCAACCAGACAAGGTGCAGCATTCTCAACCGCTGCCCCATTGAAGGTCATCACCAAATCATACATGAATTTCTGCTAAGATTGTTTAAAAGAGCCCTTTTAGAGCTTGTAGACACACCTACCTCTTGCTCACTCACTGCACTCATTTAACACTGAGCTTCATTTATTTTTACAGAATTTTACCTTCAATGATGACTTCAGTCCCAGCAGTACCAGTTCAGCAGACCTCAGCGGCTTAGGAGCAGAACCTAAAACACCAGGGCTCTCTCAGTCCTTAGCACTGTCATCAGATGAGGTAATTCCATGGCACTATGACAGAGCTGCTTTGTCAAATCTGACGTTTTACCCATGAACCATCACCAGGAAAATGTTTTTAGGGTAGATATTGCATAGAAATCATCAGGACTGTGGTTTATGTTTAATTTGAAGTCTTCATGATTTCTCTCCCTCCCTTTCTCAACAGAAAAGCAAAGTCTTGTTCTTAAGCTTTCCAGGGGCCCCTTTTACACGTATATGTAAACACACATGATGGGGAGGCTGGGCAGTGCAGAGTTAAACATGGGGGAACAGCTCAGAAATCACATAGAAGTTTCCTAATTACTCCTTTCTTTTTTTCCTTGCCTCCCCTGACAACCACACTCACTCCAAGATTCTGATACTGCCTCTGATTAGGGTGAGGTCTCTGATTGAGAATCAATAGTTTTGATAAAGAGGGAAAATAGCATGAGAACCATTTATTTAAAAACAAGGGTCAAAATTAGTATTGCTACAAATTATCAGGAGATAAATGTGTACAAGAGAGTCAGGAAATGAGGTTAGTGATTTAGTTCCTTGAAAAATGGAGGGAGGACAGAAGGCACCATAAATAAAGATATTTTTGCTCTAAATATTTGTTCTTACTATTTCTTTCTAACATGATTTTTTATTCACAAAACTTTTTTTTTTCTTGTAAGCTTTTCTGCCCGTATTCTTCAAGCTTGGTGCAATTTTAATTTTATTAAAATTATGTACTATATATGTTGTGTCTCCTGTTTCTGTAACACTTTTCTTCTTGATTCTTTTATTGCTCCCTCACTCAGAGCCTGGATATGATAGATGACGAGGTGAGCTATCAGTGGGCTGTGTGTGGTGGCTTGTGTGCTATTGTTTGAATGTGTTTTTTCGCTCTTTGGAGATGACTGAAAAATCAGACAATACAAGAATATCTTCCTCTGTAGTGAAGGGTTTCCTTGTGTTAAATAGCTTTACTCTCTGCCTTTGTCATATCTTAGTTTAAAAGATGTTCCTAACTTAAGAGGATCTCCGCATTGCACCTCCAGAGTTCCTCGATTTCTCTTCCATCACCATTACATTGACATGGTCCATTCTTCTTCCTCTCCTTTGCCTTCATCTCAGCTTACCCTATCCCTTCTTCTGTGTTCCCTGTGTGGGTCACCAAGGTGACTCCTGTCTTTCCTTCAAGACCTATCATCACCTTCATCTCCTCTCAGCTTAGTGGGTCTAGGAACCAACCTGTCCCTTTGCACTATTAAAAGGAATATTCTGCAGTGGACAGAGCCAGAAATTTAGAATAAACTCCTAACTATTGAGCTCTACCACTTACTAACTGTGTGATCTTGGGCAGATCACATAGACTTTCTCAGCCTCAGTTTCCTTGTTTCTTTTTTTGTTTTTTAAGACAGTCTCACTCTGTTGCCCAGGCTGGAGTGCAGTGGCACAATCTTGGTTCACTGCAACCTCCACCTCCTGGATTCAAGCGATTCTCCTGCCTCAGCCTCTCGAATAACTGGGATTACAGGCATGCGCCACCACCACACTGGCTAATTTTTGTATTTTTAGTAGAGAGGGGATTTCAACATGTTGGCCAGGCTGGTCTTGAACTCCTGGCCTCAAGTGATCCACCCACTTCAGCCTCCCGAAGTGCTGGGATTACAGATGTGAGCCACCATGCCCAGCCATTTCCTCATTTCTTGAAAGTAATGATGGATATTATATGCCCTACCTTCCTCACAGTTTGCTTGCTGCTCAAGTGAAATAATGGTTGTGAAACTTCCCCTAAGAAGGCTTGAGAGCTTAATGCTCTCCTCTTGCAAGTGAAAGATACCTCAGTATTTGTTAATATATTTTTACAAAATTCCAATGTCTTATTAGAGGATAAGTGATGCATTGCATATAGAAATTTATGAAATATTTATTTTCTACATCTTATAATCTGTCCAGACTGTTTTGATGTAAAAGCTTGCAACATTAATATATTTTCTTCAATATTAAACTTCCTACATTAATAATGGTGCTTTTTTATTATGGGGAATTTCTAAACTTCTAAAAACATAAAAACATATAGGTAATAAGTATTTTTTCTAACACCACTAGAACCATTAGCTTATCATATTTTGGTTTAAACATAAATGTGGCTCTCATAGGTTAAGAAATTCCTTTTGATAGCATAATATGAGCCATAGTATCTTGGTCCTTTAACAACACTACGTAACATTCCTATCTTAGATCCTTGATGATGGACAGTCTCCCAAACACAGTCAGTGTCAGAATCGGGCCGTTCAGGAATGGAGTGTGCAGCAGGTTTCTCACTGGTTAATGAGCCTAAATCTGGAGCAGTATGTATCTGAATTCAGTGCCCAAAACATCACTGGAGAACAGCTCCTGCAGTTGGATGGAAATAAACTTAAGGTAAAGAATTATATGTCTGTCTTAGGTTACCAGGTATAATTTGTATTACTCATATCACCTAAAATGTTTTCATTAGGTAAGAGCATTCTGCATATCTGAGAGGTAATTCTCATCAATATTCAGCAGAAAGGATGTTGAATTCTTTCTGAGTAGTAAATGAAGTCTCAGAAAGTCCATCAGGGGTTCCAAATCAAATGGTAGGCTGCTGATTAGGAGAGTGAGGGACCCACTCCATTGCTTCCACCTGGCAACACATGGTCCATATATTAACTCTCCTTACATCTGATGTAGTATGAGTTTTAATAATGGCCACTGTGGACTTTTTCATCACATTAGAATTAAGACCCAGATCCACGAGTCTTCTTTTCCTTGTTCATTTCTCCTTCACCTCCACTCTTCCTTACACACCACTCCCAAACTGGGATGATGTTCTCCCCAGAAGTTTTTTCCCCAAATATGTACACACATCTTCCCTCCCCTCCATGGCACTTTCATTTCCACTTGTCCAGTCCATCTCTCTTAGAGACCAAGGTGGCATCCATCCCTTTGGGAAAGGGAAAAAGGTGCTTACAGCCAACTCCATGTACCCCCAAGCCCCACCCCCGCCTCAGCCCCCTGCTGGGCTGACGGGCAGACGAGTATCTCTTGACAATCTTGAAAAGGTTAGAGATCAATCAATAGCTTGTGAATATGAAGGCCTCATTGACAAGGCTGTCCCTGTTGGGGAGATAGATAGATGCATCCTGCTGTTGATTCTGAAGGTCACGAAACATTTAAAGTACATAAGCAACTCCCCTTATTCTGAATTCTAAGTTCATCGAGCAACCTCCTCATTATAATCAACTTCCTTTATAGGTCTGCCTACAGGGAAAGAATGGCTAGTCATGCTGACACGAGCATTCTGGCCCCAAAGACATTTTTGGTTCTCATTGTAATGAAAACATTGGCAGAAAGGAAGCCATTTCAATTCTTCTTGCCCTTCTTGGAGCCCTCTGTGACAGCAGGTGCTCACTCCTATGCTTTGAAAATATTGATGAGTTTAGCAATACCTTTACCCGTAAATGCCTACAGCCCAAAGGTTGGAGAAGTAGAATTGTGCCCTTTTTCCATTCATTCACCCATTAATTACTCATTTGGAAAGCATTTAATTAATGAGCTTTAGGGTATACTTTGCAAGGGACTTCAAAGAACAAAAGAAAAAATAAAGGGTAGCCCCCAGTGTGTTGGTTTTTAGCAAATGTAACTAGTTCTTCCTCTGTTCTTACCTCTTCAATGTTTGAATTAGTTTACGAACTTGGATATATGGTATGTTAACACCATCAGAGGGCTCATTGGTTTTCAAATTCAGTTTGTGTGTGTGTTTCTTTCTTAGGCTCTTGGAATGACAGCATCCCAGGACCGAGCAGTGGTCAAAAAGAAACTCAAGGAAATGAAGATGTCTCTAGAGAAGGCTCGGAAGGCCCAAGAGAAAATGGAAAAACAAAGAGAAAAGCTAAGGAGAAAGGAGCAAGAGCAAATGCAGAGGAAGTCCAAAAAGACAGAAAAGATGACGTCAACTACAGCCGAGGGTGCTGGTGAGCAGTAACACATACCCTCTTACAGATGATGGAGATGCTCCAAGAGAAGTCCCCACCTCTTCCTGCCCTGCTCTCCTCCAGAGGATGAAAAAGAAACTAAATGATAAGGGTAATGCGGCTCTAGGCCGGCTGAGGAACTGTGTGTTGAATAACTGCATTTTCTGCAATAGAATGCACTCTTAATTTTAACTACTAAAATAATCCCAAGCCACCTTTGGTTCATTAACAAACCAGAGATTTCATTTAAGTAGCTGTGTTTTGCTCTTCTCTAACTTACCAACATCTTGTGTTGTGTTGGGTGTGTTTTGTCACTTGGAGAACTAGTGTGACCCCACCCAAGAGCATGACACACCCTGGTGTTGTTAATGGAGCGCCGTGAATTTTCAGTGTGGGATCCTGAAATGGCAATTGCACATGTCTGCATGGCAGAGAGCACCCTGCCATGAGATCTGAGACCAGTACTTAACTTCTAGGACTGCAACACCTACTCCAATGTGTGGGAAAGATTTGCTCTTAATTCTCAGTCTGGACAGTGAGACCACCCCGCTGTGGAAACATGGGTGCTCTGCTCTGTAGTTACCTACTAAGGGAAAAGGCAAGCAAGTCATTCTGCTTGCTAGGCATCAAAAAGAAAGAAAATAAATTATAGCTATTTGTTAACCACTGAAAAAAGCAAAAGCCTTAAGAATGTGGATGTGGGTATTACCTTGGGGTTCTGAGGGTAATATTTATCCTCTAGATACGGCTGAACAAGAAAGAAAAAAATCAGACATTAATGCAGCCATGGGATATTGGGATCTGTTGACCTTGCTACTGCTGTGTGTTCAGCATTTCAGCAACACTGGCAAACACAACACAGTTCCTCTTCCCCCTACCTAACCCAAGAAATTGAACAGGAAATTGATTTTTAAGGAAACCACCATTTTCAGGTTTCCTCTCCTGGGGAACATTCTGGCTGGTCTTCAGCCTGCCTATGTCACAATCAGGAACTCATCACATATTTTCTACTCAAGATTTCCCAGGTGGGCTCAGTTAGTATTTTAACAAATGTACTTTTAAGAAAAATAGAAATACCAGTTAGAGGAAACTGTCAGTTAACATTTTAGAGAGATTTTGAATGGTTTTTCCGAACCATTCCTTTCCATACTTCAAAGATTCTCAATTTTACAGAAAAAGTTTGTTTAAGGCAGTGCATAGGTATACTTTAGTAGTGGAGGAACTTATACTAATTTTAAGCCAGCATTAAGGATTTCCATGTTTCACCAAACTAAGTCAAGTGCAGGAGACTGGGGCAGAAGAAGGAGAAAATAAACTCGTTTTGAGAAATTTCATGTGATGAGGGTTTTTTGTTTTTTATGCTCATGTATCTGGTTCTCTTTGCTGCGTTGACTCTAAAAATGAGGTTATCCACTTTCCAAAGGACAAGTTTCAGAATAAGACTTGAGGCCACATGAATTCTTGGACAGTATTTTACTTCTTTTACTTTATGGGAATCTCTGCTCTGTTCCCAGCATCTCGTATCTTCCACTAGAAGTATTCCATATTTAGAGCCTCGGCAAGGCTTTTGAGTGTAACAGATTAAGGGAACTCCCTTGTAGCCCCATCTTGTATTTTAATAACAGTGTGATTTTTTTTTATCTGAAAATCTGAATTCAGAAATTATCTAAACTGGACATTTTTAATTCTGTTTTACCCCCAAGGCCTGTTTTCTTTTCATTGCCAGAGTATTGTCGGTTATGCGTCAGCTCTTTTGTCATTAGGTACAGACCCTTCATTCAATCCTCAGAAACGTTGACATGAAGTAACATTGTGTTTTACAGTTATCAAAGTCACCATTATGTTTTTCTGTCTGTCTTCATTAGGGGTATGATAATGAAACTGCCGTATTGGATACTCTATTAATGTCTTGAGATGTCTGGTGCTTTGTTATTTTTTCACATCATGAGAAATAAGAAGCCACTATTAATGAGTGATACAATTTGGCAAAACTTTTCAAATACTAAAACACTAAATTAGTAAAAATCTGGTAATATTAGTGCTTGCTATTGTAAATTTTTGCCATTTTTGCTTATCTTTGGGAAAAAAGTGACCTGGATCACACTGGAAGTTTCACTGTATTCAAGAGTAGAAATAGAAGGATGATTATCTTAAGTTATGTTTACACTTTGGTAATATTTGAAAATGGATGTATATACTGGAAATGTCTGTAAGTGTCTTGTTTTTGCACCTAATTTATGATCTATTATATTGCATTTTCTTAAATATCTTAGAAGTATTTTTCTTTATAACTTTGTATATTGAATGTTTAGATAAATGTCCAACTGACAATGTTATAAATCAAATTCTTATTCCTAAAATCATTTAGTATTATAAGTATTTTGATTTTTTAAGTTAAATTATAGTAATTTTAGGCCGAAGTGAGTTATTTTAACATTACCACTTAAAACGGATGAAATTGTAAAAGTCATTTGGTTTGATTGCCCCACAAAGCATAAGATGTAAACTGATTAAGGGTATGAAAGCAAAGTGAAAGACCTCAGATCTTGTGCACATTTTGTTTTCCTATTATTTCTTTTATTGACTGTAGTGCATGATACCTAATCAAGGCTCCAATGTCTTGCACAATTCCTACTTTAATGCTAGTGGTTTTCAGTGTCCTTACAATTTAACACAGAATTGTTATTTCATCAACCTTAAAAACTGCAGTTTTTATTATCAGAAAATGAACAAAAAGGGAATATCTGGTTGCTATGAACTGATTCCCTAAAGGAGAGCTCAGTATGATTCTAACAATAGCCAAAAGTGTTTTGGGGTATAGGTTATGCTTTGTTGGGAGGGAATGTGTGGTGAGGAGGCCAAGCTGCAGACAGAAAGCATTGTATGAGCTGTATCTGGGTCAGGGTTTCCCATTAAAGGATGTTAGTTTTATAACAGATTACTTTGTTTAAGACCATCTCCCTTCAAGTAACTCACAGTTTATGTAATACTAATCTCATTCTTTTTTTACCTGAATCAGGAATTTTCTGCAGAATGTTAAGTTAGGGAAGAAACCTCATTTCATCCATTCTAACACTCCTGATGAAGTCCCCCTTTAGTTTCATGACAATAAAGCTGTTCTGTGGCTATCATCCTTTAGCTGGGATTGACAATTGATTTCACACCCTCAACATCACAAGCTTTTTTTAACCCACAGCAGTTCATGATTGCAGTATGATAGGTACTAAAGCCAAACTCAGCTTTCAACTGGCACAAAATGGGACTGTCACCTTTTGCTCCATTGTTGTTGGAAACAAAGTGGCAAGAGGGAAAATGAGGAACCAGATTTACCTTTGCCACTATCTGTGACCCTGTAATCATCACTAGCCTGAAATCTTAAAATATCCCAGTCCCAAGCTACAAAAATGGTCACAGGTGGTTTGATCTAGCACCTCGGCCGTTAGAGTTTGTGCTGAAGACAAATTTGTCTGGGTTCATTGTGCACCAGAATTAGCATGTGCTTGAAAATTGCATTTTATAAAAGGGAAATGAAAATTTGCATTTATATAGATACTCTGATTCATGTTTAAGTGTTAAAGGTTATGCAGACTAAACTTCAAGAGGAGATCCAGTGTTTAACAATAGTGTTCTAGAGGATTCTAAAGGAAGCTGCCCCAGCAGCCCTGAGAGAACCATCTATACTTTGGATATGTTGTAGCCCCATCATTACACTGAGATATTTCCATTTGAGTAACTAAAGGTACTCCTGACAGAGCTGGAGATGAGGGGCATTTTGGTGGGCAGTGGTCACTAGGGTTCACGTCACCTACTTAATGCAAAGACCTTAGTGGTCTCAGAATGAAAAGGTAAAATGGAAGAGAAAAGCACAGTCCTTTCCTGTCTTTTCAAATTTACTTTTTATTAAGGATGTACCTGTGCACTATTCTAAAGCTAAGCATTTAAGGATAAAGTCCAGAAATAAAATGTCCATATTTTCTTTTCTTTTCTTTTTTTTTTTTTTTTTCTGTCATCTGTCACCCAGACTGGACTGCAGTGGTGCCATCATGTCTTACTGCAGCCTCAAACTCCTGGGCTCAAGTGGTCCTCCTGCTTCAGCTTCCCAAGTAGCTGGGACTACAGGCATGTGCCACCACCCCCAGCCAAAACATCCATATTTTCTATTAGAATGGTTTACATTATGATGGGGGATGGGGAGCTGGGGGAGGGCTGTACATTCCCAAAAGAAAGTAGTGTTATAGGAAATCCAAATGCGCTTCAGTGATTCACTCCTGAAAAGCAGCCTGGGTATGTTGGCAGATTTTGTTTGCATTTGTCTTGCGTATTTAAAGTCTCAGGAAATCTAGTCTTGGTCCAAAACACTGGAGAAAAAAATAACACCAGACAAAACACATTTGAGTAACTTGAAGTAGCAGCATAGAATAGGCCCAACTAAGAAGTTGGAGGGGCAAAGAGAAAGCCGACAGAATCAGCTTCTCCTGGAAAGTGAAAGCATCAAGTTCTATTTATGGTAGACAGAGGGTCCTTATTTGCTTGTCCGTGGTGTCTATGTGGGCCTATTGAGGGAATGGTAGTTACTTGAAGGTTCACATATGTAAGCGTGTGGACCCAGCACAGTCTGTGACCTGATTCCAGATCCTCAAGAGTGGAGAAGGAAAGAAATATGATGATTTCCTATGCTTGACCCTAACCCAACCCCAAAACTGCTAGGGATTCAACAGTGAGTAAGATGTATGCAATAAGAGAACAGATAACTTCTCAACAATGTGCATGCCGTTTGTGTAGATGTTCAGAACTACATATGTGTGAATATCACTCCCACCTTACACACGCACACACACTGCAATCACATGGCATTAAAAAATATATTGTGTATGGAACTTGGCGAGGTCAGTCAGGACCTGGAGCTGTAATCATAGCCTTATTGCCACTTCTTGCGTTGTGTATACATTGAATGGCTCATAGATTTTAAGAGATTTTTTTATTGTAAGTATTTCTACTAAATGCACTTATCCTTCTATATGTTTATATATTTTGGTAAAATTGATTTATCAGATACTTGGTATTTTAGTAAGAAAATTTCCTCAAATATTTGGCTAATGCTTTGATGTCAAGATTGCATATTGCTGAGTTGGAGCTCAGAAGAAATGTATGCAGCTAAAAATTGCACTGTGTGTTCTTGTGAATTTGCTCACAATTCTAAAATGACATAATTGGTGGCTGTGATGCTTACAGTCACTGCCTACTGGCTCTCTTATGATGAATGTTGCCATCATATGATCATTTATTTACTTTTTGTGCAAGCAATGGCATTTTGGTTGTTGCCAAAAACAACACAAGTGGTTGGGAGTGTATGTTGTTGGAAGGTGTACACTTCTGTTTCTTTCAGCTGTATTATTTATACACCCAGGTTTTCTGTTAAGGATGTAATCATTCATTCAAGAAAGAACAATTGGCAAGAAATAATTAAATTACCTTAAAAAGAATTAAGAGGCACTCCAGCCAGATAACACCTCCCAACAACATGAAATTTAGTTAGTGCTTAGTGAAATTCCTTAAATATATATGTATATGTTTTCTTCAACATTATTTAATATAACTACTGCTTTTATATTTTTTAATGGTGTTGCAACCACTTGTACACCTGCTACACCTTACTGACAAAACTGGGCAGCTGAAAATAAAAGAGAATAAATTCTATTCCACTGTAAGAAGTTGATTTCTTTTCAGCTTTCTTTGTATATCAGTAAAGAACACGAATTGTTTGAAAATAATTTTAAGTCTGATAAGTATGGATAGCATGTTACCTAAGCTTTTAATTTGTACATTTTGATGTCTGATCATTTGCATGGAAGAGACAATAGTGCCACGTCTGAATTGTTCTCTTGTGCTTGGTTAATATGTACTTCTCTAGATTGTTCAAAAAGTTTCAAATGACATTCCTTACTCTTTGGTTTTCAGAGGCATTCAAGCAAAATATCACAGTGGTCTTTTGTTTTCTGACCAATCTAACAATACCTGTGATTAAATTTAATTTGTTAGTGTAAATAAATTTCTTGCCAATGAGTATTATTGTTGTTAGACAACGAATGCAATAAAAAGAAATACTGAGGTCTGTTGAAGCAATTTTTTTTCCCTCTTCCATTTTCACCTTCAACTAAAACAAGCCTTGACTGGGTAAACCTGTATCAATTGTCAAAGCATATATCTGTCAATCAAGAGCAAAGTGCACATTTTTCATGGAAATGAAACTAAGTCTTAACTGTGGTAAAGTGTAAATTGGCAGCTAGAAATTACATTTGAAAGCACAATTATGGAACTGGGCATAAAGTTAAAAGAGCAAAGCCTGCACTCGAAGCTTCCTCGCCCGTCATTTTGTTCCCCTGTCGCTGCTTCACCATCAAAGTCTCTGATATCTCTCAGCCAGGAAAACCTCTGTGACAAATCCATTAAGTAGTCAGTCTCACATAGCGAGGGGCAAGCTAAGGAAGAATCAGGACCATCGTAGAGTATGGGGTTATTTTAAACAATATTCTTTCTAAAGCCTTAAAAATAAGTGAGGGCTATTAATTTCATTCATTCTTACACACGCAAACTATAATTTATATGTGACTAAGCCTATGTCAGTGCGAAAATTTAGATCTGGGAATCACAGAATACATGAATTAAGCTGTTTTCCTCTTTTTCACAATGTATGTTATGAAATTTCTAACCAAGCCATGTCCCTTTTTGAGTGATCTTGAGTATGTGCTGTGTCAAATTGGATAGGCTTTTGTTTCTTCAGTGGAATTTGCTTATCTATCATCAAGAACAAGAAAGAACAGAATGTGGTCATTTTATTGAAGATGTTAGGGAGCCTAACTACTCAGGAAATTCTTTCTTTCTAAATAATGAAATATGTTGGGGGTGTTCCCTAAGCATCACACTCATTGATAATTTCAAGACAGTCTTTCAGAGAACCCAGCATCCTGGGCTGTGAGCAGCATCTCAGAAAAATTGAGCCCATGTAGGGCACGGGATATTATGTCACTGGAATCATGAGTAACTCCAATCTTGCTGTGAATAAAGTGGTTTTTTGACCCAAACAAAATGTTCCTGTTTATTACTTCAAGTCAGTGATTCTTAAACAACTGTTGGTGGTTCTCAATTTATTGGCAAAACATTTTCCCGGAAATGCCAGACTATCATCATAACAAGTGCCTTAGAAAAACTTCGTTTCTGGCTGGGTGTGGTGGCTCGCACCTGTAATCCCAGCACTTTGGAAGGCCAAGGCGGGTGGATCACCTGAGGTCAGGTGTTCGAGACCAGGCTGGCCAACATGGTGAAACCCCGTCTCTACTAAAAATACAAAAATTAGCCGGGCATGGTGGTGTGTGCCTGTAGTCCCAGCTATCCGGGAGGCTGAGGCACAAGAATCTCTTGAACCTCGGAGGTAGAAGTTGCAGTGAGCCAAGATCGCACCACTGCACTCCAGCCTGGGCAACAGAGTGAGATTCGGTCTCAAAAACAAAACAAAAACAAGAAAAAAATTTGTTTCTAAAGTCACTGCCTTAACACCCTGAAGAAGTAATTCATCATGAAGGTTATACCTTCAAATCAGAAAAACAAATAAATGAAAATGTGTAACCTTTATATATCAGTTTCTATAACAAAATGATAAAGTCATGTTTTCTTCCTAGTCATGTCTCAGTAGATAGCCAAAGGGGTTGTTGATCTTTTCTATTTATTTGTTTGTTTACCTTTCTATTATTTTTTTTCTTTTCAGCCTCCACAACAAGAAGTTTAAATATTAAACAAAAACCCACCAGCACTACCACCACCTCAACAACAGTGTAGTCTTTGGGGACACTTTTAGCTTCGCCCATGTCAATTATGGGATTCATTCTGTATCCAGTCATCGAAGTGAACAAACTTCCTTTAACCAAGTCAAAGACACTCAAATGTACAATTTGTGCCAAGATCATAGAGACTCATAATTTTCAGGTGTGACAACACTCCCAAGAATTTTAAGATTTTCCTATGTGTCATTGCAACAGGAGAATTGAAAAAGCAAGAGTACAAGGGGAGTTGGAATAATTCAGGTTAATATTTACTGAGAAAAAGTCATATATCGAAGGGAAAATGGGAGTAAGTAAGTCTGACTGCCATAGTCAGACTTACTATGTGCATGGAGTAGAGGGGAACTTCATAATGCATATGTTTTCTGGCCTGTGAACTGGAGTCCCTGGGTGAGTACTGGAGTTCTAAAGACACGTGAGCTAACCCTGCTCCCCTGTGTCTTCTGAACAAGACATGGCAAGGCAGCGATACACACATGTGCTTCCAGGCAACACATGTTTTAGGGTAAGTACTTTTGGGGTCACACACTGTTATTTAATATCTGACAATTGACATAACTGATTTATCCATTTTAGTGAGAAGGATTTTTATGGTAAATGAGGTTTTCAAGTATTCCAAGACTGATTTGATAGTGTATTCTCAAAAAAAAGCCCTACACATCATATCACTCCCAGTTAAACAGTGCTTTGATGCTTCATGATGTCCACATTTAGGGTCAGCATTCATTGTTCAGCTAAGAACACTGGGTCCTCGGAATATGGCAAGCGGTTGAAATAATGGCCTCAGTTTCTATGGCATGGGTGCAAATCGGTCTGTTAGAGCTCACAGTAAAGAGCTTTGTGAAACACTGTGCCAATCAGCAGTTTCCCTTTGTACACAGAGGCAACTGTACTGCCTTGCAACACTGTGCCATTTTCTGCATAAACCTGTGTCACTTTAGGTTCTTCTGTTAGAATGTTCTGGATTCGAAGCACCTGTGGAAGAAATAACATTGGGTTAATATTTTTGTTAAGTCACTTAAAACAACCTTATGCATAATAGGGTCATCCTCCATAAGAAGCCATATAATCTTATACAATGAGATAAATCCTATTTTGTTCCAAAATTACACTTAACACACCTGTTTCTTCATTTGGGAACAGGTGGGTACTGATCTCAAGTGATCTTTAGCAGAGGTGGAGAGTATCTAGACCTACAGGGATGAGGCAGGAAATGCAAATGAGCAGCGCATCCTGGATGTGGGACATTAGGGAGCAGTGGGGATTTCAGTAAATGTGGAGGGAGGAAGCTGTTACTCAGTATGATAGTTAATACTGAGAGTCAACTTGATTGGATTGAAGGATGCAAAGTATTGATCCTGGGTGTCTGTGAGCGTGTTGCCAAAGGAGATTAACATTTGAGTCAGTGGGCTGCAAAAGGCAGACCCACCCTTAATCTGGGTGGGCACAATCTAATCAGCTGCCAGCGAATATAAAGCAGGCAGAAAAACATGAAGAGGAGAGACTGGCCTACCCTCCCAGCCTACATCTTTCTCCCATGCTGATGCTTCCTGCCCTCAAACATCAGACTCCAAATTCTTCAGTTTTGAGACTCAGACTGGCTCTCCTTGCTCCTCAGGCTTGCAGACCGCCTACTGTGGGATCTTGTGATCAGGTAAGTTAATACTTAATAAACCCCCTTTACATATATATATATCCTATTAGTTCTGTCCCTCTAGGGAACCTTGACTAATACACTCAGCAATAGCCAAACTGTTGCCATGCAGTAATTAAGGTCCGTTTTCATGTATTTTCAGGTAAGCCAGGGAACTAACTGGATGTTTACACTTAATTCCTGGTTTTTAAAATGCAGACAAGAAAAAAAATGTGGCCCTCAAAAAACCATATCTGTGTACCATACTCATGTGTTCTGAACTTAACCTCCTGTCTCTAAATGTATAAGATTTTGTAAGTTCAGTTTCCTTCACTTAATTGAGGAGAAATGTGATTGTATCAATAATAACAGTGTAGTATCATGTTAAGCCAACCATATGAAATAGCCAATATCTGATCATTCTGACTGTAAAAAATAGCAATAGCGTGTGATTCAACTTAGTATGAAAAGCACTACACTGAGGTGGGAGACCTGGGTCATGTCTTGGATCTTCCACTCACATTTGTTTCTCATCTGTAGAATGAAATGGGTGGGACTAGATTATCTCTAAATTCCCCTTCAGCTCTAGCTTTCTATTATTAAGCCTTTATGATAATATATAATGACTTGAAGAAAGGATATCTACATCACAAATGTGGCAGACGGTGAAGGCCACTGCGTGGATATAAAAGGGTCTGTGGGAACGTTCAAAATGACCTCTTAAAAACAGCTGGCACCAAAGACAGATGTCTTAGGAAGTTGCCATAGCATTAACATGTAGTAGTTACAGGGAAATAGTTGATGGTACACCTTGGCTTAGCTAAGCTTCTTGTTAATAAAACTAAATCACTCATCTAGGGGCAGTGCATTGGATAAGGAATTGTTACTACTTTTTGCTACTCCTTTGCAGATCAATCATTAGAAATGAAGTATTTTCTCCAGAACAACAAACCAAGTCCATGCTATAGCAAATGACCCAAGGTTACTAAATGAGCTAACAAGCAAGAACAAATTAGAATCTAACATTCTGCTCAGTTCTGAGCACTGAACACTCCACAGCATACATTTCTTCAATTCTATTAAACATACCATTCAGCAACCCTAATAGCTAAAAACTAGCAAAAGGCACAAAGGGTTGCCATTAAACATGATCACAATTGTCCTGCAAACCTAGAGATAAAAGGTAAGAGAGCCATAATGTAAATGGAAATACACATTTGTTTCTTTTTTTTTTAACCCAAGAGATACGGGCTTTAACACTTTTTTTTTTCCTGTTGGGCAGGTGAAATGGACTCTTAAAACTGAGCTTTAACAATACACAGCAGTAGACAAATATGTCAAGATGATATCATATATATGATGTAAGTAATAAGTATCCTTAGTAGATACTGAAAACTCAGTAAATGTGCAAATACCTATATTGAAGTAGGTTGCAAATTCTTACTTGTACCCAAAATAGTTCACTGAATAAAGACCGTGGACAAAAAATGGGACCTTTGAGTACTGTAACTAAGGTGGAAGATGAGATCTTCTAAGCCAGAATAATTCCAGCTATTTATCTTGCCACCTGCAGGAAGATCTAGAGAGGCTGGCCAGTGTGCTCCAGGACTGGTCCATTGCATGGACCTGTGCGTATACCGCCACACAGGAAGGGGGAGTTGAATAGGAAGGCAGGTAATGAATGATTAAACCATAGCAGTATGGCATCATTATGTTCTTTGAGGATCCCTTAACCAGAGGCCAAGTTCCTGTCAGGCAACCCTCTCCACCCACCACCGTCTACCTGTTCTGGCTTCTGGTATTCATTTCCTCCCTCCCTTGCTAGCCCTGGGGTACTGCATTATAACTCTGTTGATTACCCTACACTGTGTCCACACATTTTGTGTATAGTCCGTTGATTAAACTCCCCTCAAATTATCCAATTTAAGTGTGCCATGTGTTTCTTGCCTAGACTCTGACTAAAGCACCTCCAAAAGCCTTCATTTCTGATCATTTGGATCATCTATCCATGTCCCCCCTTTTATTTGCACATAGAATTGAGAATTGGCCGGGCACGGTGGCTCACGCCTGTAATCCCGGCACTTTGGGAGGCCGAGGCGGGTGGATCACAAGGTCAGCAGATCAAGACCATCCTGGCCAACAGGATGAAACCCTGTCTCTACTAAAAAAAAAAAAAAATACAAAAAATTAGCCAGGCATGGTGGCATGCGCCTGTGGTCCCAACTACTTGGGAGGCTGAGGCAGGAGAATGGTGTGAACCCGGGAGGCGGAGCTTGCAGTGAGCCAAGATTGCGCCACTGCACTCCAGCCTGGGCGACAGAGCGATACTCTGTCACAAAAAAAAAAAAAAAAAAAAAAAAACCAAGAATTGAGAATTATGTTGTCAACTGAAAAAACAGTAGCTGGGAATAAAGTCACTTATCTGGTTCATTTTTAAAACTTACCTCTGATGCAGGAGGATTCTCTGAGTCATAGAAGAAGATTTTCATGCCATTGGGATGGCATCCAACCCAAAGGTCTCCTGTCTCAGGATCCACAGATATGTTATCCACGAGGGTATTAAAGTCAAGGGACTTAAAAGATTAAAAACAAGAAAAGAACAAGACATAAAGTAAAACACAATTGTGATGGAGCAAAATATATCAGAGAAAAGTTGCCTCTTGTCCTTGGTCACCACGCTGCTGCTTCCAAGGATACAATTCTGCCCCATTTCAATAAGACTCACAAAATTTCTCTGACCTTTCATCTATGCTAGTATTTTGTCAGTTTCCAGGGCAGAATTGGGTAGGGTGAAGATACAGAAAGCCAAGAAAGACTGTTAAAAGTTAGACAAAATCATTTGTACCAACATCTGTGCATGAACCTAAAACTGAAAAAAAAAAGAAGTTTTCGGTGCATCATAAAACATCTCCTTCTAAAATGGCATGTGGTAATGATATTTTTATAAGCATTCAGAAAACAACCAGGAAATGTAGATTCTTTCTCAGAAGAATATCAATGAAATGTGGACTCTTTAATGGCTAATCATAGGCTGTGCAGCCAGAGAAGAAATGATCACCCAGGGTCTCATTTTTGCCTTGTAGTTGAGGAAAAGTTTGTTCTTTAGTTTCCTGATGTTGTTCAACTCCCCGTTCTTCTGCTGTTTATTCTCTAAATATAAGTTGCAAGCATTTGATGACTGCACAGATTGCTGTCGAGGCTTTGTACAAGGATCATAAATAATACCAATGATTCTTAATTCCACCATTCATCATCTTGGCTGCCTTCTACTGGGGAGAAATCCCATCTATTTGTTTACCTCTAATTCTCAGTTGGAGAAATAATATCTACCATGTACCTCAGAGGCCAGCATACCTCAGTGCCCAGAGAACCTGTAAATAACTGGTCATGACTCATTGAAAAAGCCAGGGCATAAGCAGACAGCTGCAGAAAACCAACGTTTCCCTGTGCCTCCTACTCAAAATGAGAGCTGTTCCTCACATGCCCAAGGAGGGATTAGAGGGCTCAAGCATCATGGCAGAGCCTCAGTCTCGCCACCATGCAGAGCCATCAGTCTTTCTTACCCCAGAGACAGGCAAGACAGGCGGCTCCATGCTTGCTTTCTCCATCCCTAAACCCCTGTCCATCCCAGTGTCAGCACACCACTCTGATACCATAATGTCTTTGAATGAGGAAAATGTTTGTTTCAGGGCTTTGCTCTTATCTTTGGAAGCAGTACAGCCAATTGGTGAATTCCACGGCAGATGAAACCTGAGATGAGAGTGGGAGTGGGAGAAGGACACAGAAACCTGGGGTCCCATTCATTCAAGACACAATTACTGAGCTCCTACATGAGCTCTGCAAGGAACGCAACACCTGGAGAGCACCAGGTACCCAGCAGACACAGCTCATGCCATGGAAGTGCTGACAGTCTAGCAGGGAGCCTGTTCTGAGTCCAGCAATGAACTCTTTGCCTTGCAAATAAATAATTCCTCTCCATGCTAACTCATGCAAGACCCCTGCGTATCACATCTCACACTCCCACAAAGGCAACTCGAAAAATTCGCATTCCTTGGTCAAGAAAACATAATAAATTATTCTCTTTGGGAAAAACAGAGTATTCTCTGTTAACAAATATTCCAGGTTTTTGCGCATTGAGGTTCATTGAAGTGTGACTAATTCATTGACTAAGTCCTGGAATCTTTTTTTGGAGAGAGGAGAGAATTATTTCTATCGTGGTAAAATATATAAAAATTTGACATTTTAACCATTTTTAAGTGTAAAACTCAGTGGCATTAAGTATATTCACAATGTTGTGCAACCATCATCACCATCCCTCTCCAGAACTTTTAATCAGCCCCAAATAGAAATCCTGTACCCATTAAACAATAGCTCCCTATTCTTCTCTCCCCCAAGTTCCTAGCAATCACCATTCTATTCTATTTTCTGTCTCCATGAATTTGCCTGTTCTAGGTACTTCCTATTAGTAAATCGTACAATATTTATCCTTTTGTTGCTGGCTTATGTCATTTAGCATCATGTTTTTCAAGGCTTATCCATGTTGTAGCAGGTATCAGAACTTCATTCCTTTTTTTTTTTTTTTTTTTTTTTAGATGGCGTTTTGCTCTTGTTGCCCAGACTGGAGTACAATGGTGTGATCTCAGCTCACTGCAACCTCCGCCTCCCAGGTTCAAGTGATTCTCCTGCCTCAGTCTCCCAGGTAGCTGGGATTATAGGCATGTGCCACCATGTCTGGCTAATTTTTTGTACCTTTAGTAGAGACGGGGTTTCACCATATTGGCCAGGCTGGTCTTGAACTCTTGACCTCGTGATCCACCCACCTCAGCCTCCCACAGTGCTGGGATTACAGGTGTGAGCCACCGCACCCGGCCAAGAACTTCATTCCTTTTTAAGGCTGAACAATATCCAATTGGACATAAACCCATCCACACCTCATCACAAATTTAAGAATAGCCTCAGCTAGTTTATCAAATTACTTGGCACTCTCGGGCATTAATTAACTGATATTAATTAATACGGTCTTTCAAAAGAAAGAATAATGTGACAATTGATGGAGAACCTTTTTGGGGTTTTCATGATGGGAGACAGGCCTGGTCTGTTGCTGAAACTGGCCTTGCCCTCAGTCTCACCCTGGTGAGAGCAGAGCCTTGACATTCTGTGGTGAATGTCTGTTACATTGGGTTCTATTCTCATAAAATTCTTTAACTTTTGTTTTACAGAAATACCTGTTGTTAAAACCGCAGCTTGTTTTTTATTCCCTTAGCCAGTATGAGCGTGTGAAATTCCATTTTACTTGAGCTAATACCAAACTAGCCCTGCCAGTGATTTTTAATGTCAAACACGATGTTACATTTGATGTTGCTTTAAGGTAATTTTCTCTGAGTGAGGCCCCTCATGACAGTCTCTCAGATGTGCTGACAGGAACAGTCATACAATTGGCGCTGACAGTGCTTCCTGCAGTGGGCGTTTATGGCAGGAAAGCAACGTCTTGCTGTTTTTCGGAGGTAGAGGGCTGCTTTCTTAGGGCTCTAGTTTGCTCTTGGTCTCTTTTTCCTCTCCTTTGTGTTTTCACCCATTTTGACTCCAACCTTCAGATGACCAGAATTGGTGGGGGCAGCAGGTGAATCCCTGAAGCATGCCCAGCCCCACCGCAGTAATTTAACAAGTATTTGTTAAGTGCCAACTAGTCAATGTGAATTGTACCAGAAGCAAATAGAAAAACAGCCTGTCCTTGTGGAGCTTACACCCTAGTTGGGGAATCAGGTAATAAAGGGTATGAATAAAATATATAGTATGTTAGCAATACGTGCTGAATGGAAAAATAAAGCAGGAAAGGCGAGGGAAAATACGTAGCGGGAGGGAGCAGTTCCAGGTTTTGAAGATCGAGGTGACGTTTTAGTAAAAATGAAAGGAGATGAAGGAGGGGGTCATGGAGATCTGGAGGAAGGTTTCTCCTCCTAGCAGAGGGAATGGTGCCCCGTTCTGAGACAGTGGCAGGAGACGTGGGGCAGGGACACAATGGTTGGAGGTAAAGGCAGAGAGGTGAGGGGCAGCCAGGTCACCTAGCAGCCATCGTGAGCACGTGGACTTCATAAACATTGTGGAGAGCAGCCCTGCATAAAGTACAATTTGAGGCTATTTCTTGGCTGTTCCATCAACATAGAGGAAAAAAGAGAAAGAAAAGGGAGGAGAGGGAAGGAAGGTGGAGGAGAGGGAGATCAGAAGAAAGGCAGGAAGGGAGGGATGGAAGGAGGATCTGGGAACACAATGCCAAGCTTAAAATTTGCTAGAGCAGAAAGAATGCAAGGTTCACGGGTAAGAGGTGGGGTTTGCTGTTTGCCACTCTGCAGTTGAGTAAAAATGAACAACAAACACATAACCAAGCTAATGACTCTTAATAAAGGAGTGAAAAATTGGTTCTCACCCACCCCAATTAAGCAGTCCTTTTTTCTTCACATTTAATTTCACAAATCAATTAGAATCTAATTATCACTCTGCAGACTTACAGTGTTAATACGTCTTACCTTCAATGGAGTTAAAGTCCAATTAGCATGCTTTTCATACACATGAATCTTATGAGCCAGCAACTCAGCTATATAGACATACCTTCAAAGAAGAAAGAGCTACATCAAAGTACTAGAAGTAACACAACTTGAGAGATTAAGATGAAGTTGTAATACCTATTCATAGGGAAGAACTTTGCTTAAGGAATGGAAAATGGAACCCACCTCAAACACACCAAATTCTGAAAGAACTCAGTGAGTTTACAGTGACAGAGGGGTTTAATCTCTGAAAAGTTGTTTCTGAAGGAGGGGACATAGTTGTCCTTATCAGTATGGGAGGAACTTAGCCCTAACACTAACTTTTAGTATCTGGGAGTAAAATGCATTACAGCGTTTCTCTTTTGGTTTGACAATTTAGTGTCAAGGCCCAGGTTCTGCATTTCAGGGGCTAGTGAGTTCTCTCTCGGGAAAGTTGCAGGAAAGCCCTTGGACAACAGCCCCTTGTTTTAATCCAGAGAAAATATGAGAGAAGAAAAGCTGCTTGGCTTGGATCAAGAGAAGTCTTCCTCCTCTTCTGCCCTGAGTGTGGTCCTGACCCTGTGGCTTTAGTCATACCCCACAAAGATCTGGGGTTAGTCTAAGCACTGTGCATCCCCCCAACAAAAAAAAGAAATTACTGCTCAATTATCTTCTATTTTTTGAAAACTGGTCTATGATATGAATAATTAAAAGCTGTCCCTGTCCCTGTTGCTCTCACTTGCTTGCTTGCTTGCTTTTTCTTTTCTTTCTTTCTTTCTTTTTTTTTTTTTTAAAAAAAAACAGAGTCTTGCTCTGTCACCCACGCTGGAGTGCAGTGGTGCAATCTCAGCTCACTGCAACCTCCACCTCCCAGGTTCAAGCAATTCTCCTGCCTGGCCTCCCTGGTAGCTGGGATTACAGGAGTGCGCCACCACGCCTGGCTAATTTTTGTATTTTTAGTAGAGATGGGGTTTCGCCATGATGGCCAGGCTGGTCTATGACCTCAGGTGATCCACCCACCTTGGCCTCCCGAAGTGCTAGGATTACAGGCATGAACCACCACACCTGGCCCCTGTTGCTTTCTCTAAGCATATGTTACGGACTCTAAAATCCTTGATGATGACACAAGATGAGAAAGGGCATATATGTGGATGGATATAGATATTTCATGTATATACCAATGCTACCCAAAATGCAGTCTCCAGACCAATGTTGGTTTGCAAATTGTTTGTTATAGCTCACCATGAGATAACATTATAAATCAAATACATCACTAAGCACACTGCTTAGTTAAACTGACTTGTTTTTCACAGTAATACTTTCTTGATGAAGGAAGTATTGCCTTGATTTACATTTTGGTACAAATTCCTCATCTTGTCATAAACCTGCACTACTGACGTATCTATACCTGCATACTATTCAACTCATTATACACTCACATCTTTACTCAAAACAAAGCTATTCAGACATATCAAATCTTCATCACAGTTCCCCCTCTTAAAATGTACTTTCTTTCCAAAAAGGAAATAAAACCAGTATGCCTTCACAATGAAATTTTTGATTTGATAAATTTCACCCCCTGAAAAATTAAGACATTTTACATTTTTCCTAATTTTATCTCACTAGGGTAACATGTTAAAATGTATCATATTACTTAAAAAAAGAATATATTCCAAGATATCTCCTGAGAATCTGAGTAAATCCACTACATTTCAGAGAGTTCACATACTTGCCATCGGGTGAAATGTTGATTCCATTAGCAAAATCAAATCCTTCTGCCACCACTCGAACTTCACTTGGACTATAGTAGACAACATACGACCACGCTAAACCCAAATACATCTCCCAGGATTGTAAGTAGGGGTCAAGAAAATAGTGATCATTTGTGCCATAAAAGTGCTCAGGTCCCACAGCAACAATATCATTCAAACTGCAATTAAAACATACACACATAATATATAAGGTGAAGGTATTGAACATTACAGGATTATTAACTGGCATTCCTCACTGTCTATTCCTAAAATCAAGATGTGGGATGGAGCCTTCGTGCTAGCTATAATGGAACACAATTAATATGAAATTAGTCCTGCCGATACAATCCTTAGACAATCATTGGTCTAAGAAATCTGAGGAGGTGATTATAGCACTGTAACATAAAAATCCTATTATATGTATCTTAAAATAGTGTTACGTCGTGTGTGTGTGTGTGTGTGTGTGTGTGTGTGTGTGTATCTGTGTGTGTCTGTGTGTAAATACACTAAATTCAGTAGAAATTAAATTAAGCCAGAAATCATTGTCAGGGCAAAAATGTGCTCACATATCTGGGCTCACATAGAACTAACTCCCATAAGAAATTGAAAAAATGCTGAACCAGCAGCCTGGATACTTGCATTTTAGTTTAAGCTCTGCTACTATTAGCTGTGTGATCTAAGAAAAATCAATCTTTTCACATGTCAGGACCTCAGTTTTCTTATCTGTGAAAGCAGGATGATAGACTGGTTGATCTTCCAGCCTTAAGATTTCGTGATTCTAAACTGAATGAAATGTCCATGAACAAGAATGCTCAGAAATAGAATGCTATGGCTTTTTTTTTTTCCTTTCTGATTAGGATTCTCTGTTACTGAAAATGTAAGATATATGAGTCTATTTTTCTGCTTTAATGGATACAATAGGGAACACATAAGTGAGTCATTCTTTGCTGATTGAGGTGATGGAAGTTCCCCAGGGCATGATCTGGGAGAAAATTATCTCTGCTCTATTGCAGAGGCGTCATGGCCAGCGCATCAGCTCTGACGCAGCTCTGAGCTCTCAGGCAAGTTAGACAGGCATGCAGAGCCTCAGTTTTCTCATCTGTAAAGAGAGGTTAAATGATATTCTCAAAATCATACAGCTCATTAGTAGAAAACTAAGGGTCAGGATCTTAATTTGTGGAGTTGCAGTGGGAATTACAATGAGACAATGCCTGTTGTGTGCTTTGCAGGGAGCATGACATTCAATAAACCCTCAATCAATGCTAGCCACTATTACAACATGAAAAAAAAAAAAAGGTCTCGGAATTTAGGATTAGTCTGGATGGGCTCCAGACATAAATCTACAATCTGATTTTACTCTCTCTTTTTTAAAAGTAAATTTCTTAAATTAGTATGCTGGACTATCATTTGTCTGTTTTTCACAGAAAGGGGCAGAGTGGAATGGTTTAGAGCAATAGCTTTTTATTGCTGAAAATTTACTACCCCCAGGTGTAGTAAAATAAGTAAATAAATAACAAATTTTTAAAGGGTAATAGAGTAATAGCTTTGAAATCTGATGGACTTCATTTGCATCCTGACACTGCTTGCTATCCTTATAATGTGGGGCCACAGCATTGTCACTAAATTTTGAGCCACTATTCTGAACCTCTGTTTTCTCTGTATACCTTGAAAGGCTAGAGTAAGAATACAATGAAATAATGAATGCAAAGGCCTTCACACCATGCCTGGCATACAGTAAATGACCAATAATAACAGTTGTGATATATGAATAATAACAAGTTTAAATTATAATAGATTTAGTTATTGGAATATTAATGTTATAAAAAACCATAAAATACAAAGAAGAAAATACACACAGCTAATCCTTGGATTGAGAGAGCAGAACTCTAGTTAATTACGGCACCGTGGTTATTTTCAGTCTCCAATGCTGCCTAAGACCAATATTTTTGCAACTGGCTCAAGAAAAAAATACTCCAATCCGGTAACGTAGACCAATCTGAGATTTCCAAGATTAAATGTTAAAACACATAATTTTTTTCACTATTTTGTAGAGGTTTAAAGCACCAGCTCTGAACTCATGTTACCAGGATTAGAATCACAGCTGCACCATTTACTGATGATGTCATCTGGGGAAACTTAACAATTAGTCCAGGCCTCAACTTTTTAAAAATCCAAAATGGATATAATAATAACACCTAATTCAGAAGGTATTTGTAAAACATCAATAAAATAATCTGTTTGAATTAGTTAGTGTAGCACCTGACTTACAGAGAAAGCTCATTTATTAGTGTTATCATTTGCCCAGCTTCTCCATTCTACATACTGTTCTCTACTTTAAATCTTGGTGTTCCTCACATTCTCCACTCAGTGACCTTATTCTCTCTCCAAAATATATTTGTTAAATAAATGCACGAATAAACTCTTCCACCAAAAGCTGTTCTCTGAACTTTTATTCATCTTGATGGGGCAGAAGATGACCTGAGCTGGGGTTCCTACTTGGCCACTAGTGAGTTGATTGGCCTTCATCCAGTAACTCAATTTCTCTCCAATCTCATTTTCCTCATCCTCAAACCACCAGATAAGAAAGAAGAGGAAGGGGTCCTGGTAACACAGAGTGCACACTACATACCAGGCCCTTAGCTAGGTACCTGCAAAGAGTACAAATCTAGATTTACAGATATGGAGGTAGTCAAATGCTGTACATAAATTATATAAAAATAGGTTGGGATTCTAGAAAATCGTAATCAGTTGGAGGTAAATGTTTCAGAAGATAGAGTCGGATTGTTCTCCTAAATCCATCACTGGCCTTACAAGCCAAATCTTCACAGGGCATGTGAGGAAGTTGACTGAGATTGGAGATTCTTGAGTGTTTTATTTCACCATATGTTACATGAACAAGGTGCCTAGGGGGAATTGAGTGTTACCACAGATCTGCTATTGCATAAATTTTGTGCAATCAAACAGCAGCGGAGGCAGTATAAGGAGGTCTTAGATGCACTTGATTCAGGGTCTCCTCTTGGGTCTGTGTTTCTAATTCATGGAAACATCTAAGAGTCTACTTTTTAATATAAATAAATAAGCTCATGATGTCAAATTTATCTATGAAGCCGGTTTGGGTTTGAAATACTAAGTCTGGTTCTGAAGAAGAGGATTTTTTTCCTGGTAATAACTTGAATGGAGATCCTGAGGCCAGGAGCCAGCATCCAATCAGCTCGAGAAACAAGAGAGGAAAAGAATGGGCCGTCTCTGAGGGGCTTGAGTCCTCAGAAGGTTCTTCAGAAGAGCATGTGGAGGAGTTTGTGATCATTAGAAATGAGAGTTGAACAGCCATACCTACTCTGGCCAAAAGGAAAAACTAAAAGTGGATTAACTATCCGCTACAGCTAAAGGAAAATAGAAATGTGATATATCTCAGTACTTAGGCAGAAGTTTATGTCTGATGGTTTTTAGATGCAAAAGCGATTTTTCTTCTTCTTGAAATTTAAACAACTCCACTGTGGACTTGGCATCTGGATGGTTCACCACCAGGAGGTACATGGCATTATCTGAGAGGAGATTAAAAACAAAAATGAAACATTAACTAAGCTCTCACTGTCAGCCCTCTCTCCAAAAACCAATTTCAACCCACCTCCAGCTAGTAGTTAGGATGTCAGGCAGATGGAATATTTTCATCTCTTTGTAGAGAGAAGCATTGGTGATTGCTCCTGTTCCAAACAAAAGTGGCTCAAGGAAGAACCAGTGACAGTCTCTGAAAACTCAAAACTCCACAGGAGAAAAAAAAATTCTCAAGAATGAGTATCACTGACACTAAAACTCCAAAGAATCCTTTAAGTTTTCCAGTTCAAATGGTCTCCACGAAATGCACAGTTGCGATGAAAGGGATAAAAACCATGGGAACTCCCAATATGAGAAGGTGTGATCAGGTGTAATTTACACAGTGTGAGATGATACATTCCATAGAAGAACATCTGAGAAATAGTAGCAAACAAACAGAAGCAGCTTCCTTGGATAAGTGGGACTTTAAGAACACAAAGGTGACCAGTCTAAGCGGTCAAGAATGTGTGATCAGAGCTGGCAAGTAAAAGTTAGATTATGGTCTTTGCCTTAAGAAAGAGTAGGTCTTTTGAAACCTCTGACATGATCAAATTGGCGTTTTTGTTTTGTTTTGTTTTGTTTTTGAGACGGAGTTTCACTCCTGTTGCCCAGGCTGGAGTGCAATGGCGCCATCTCGGCTCACTGCAACCTCCGCCTCCCAGGTTCAAGCGATTCTCCTGCCTCAGCCTCCCAAGTAGCTGGGATTACAGGTGCCCACCACCATGCCTGGCTAATTTTTGTGTTTTTAGTAGAGATGGGGTTTCACCATGTTAAGATGCAAAATTTGGCAGGTTGAATTGAGAAGATTTGAACAGAGAAAGCTGCTAAAATGATTTTCATTACCCCATTCAGCAAACAAGTGTTTAATTTATTTTAGTTGGCGTTAAATGCTACAAAGGAAAAATACAACAGGATAAAAGAATAGAGAGTAACGAAGTATTATCTTCATGGGAGTCAGGCATGTTCTCTCTGATGAGGGGATGTTAGAGCAAAAACCTAAGTGAAATAAGAGAACGAATAATGTGGATATCTAGGGAAAGAGCATTCCAGGTTGAGGGGAGAAAGTGTGCAAAGGCCCTGGGGCAGAACTTCCTGGACATATTCACTTAATAGTGAGGTTGTGCTGGGAGTGTGCAAAGGCCCCGGGGCAGAACTTCCGGGACATATTCACTTAATAGTGAGGTTGTGCTGGGAGTGTGCAAAGGCCCCGGGGCAGAACTTCCTGGACATATTCACTTAATTGTGAGGTTGTGCTGGGAGCAGAGTGAAGGCAAGAGAGAGTGGGAGAGTGAGAGGGCTGAAACCACAGGGAGCCAGAATCAGTCTTGTTAGGGCTTAAGATGAAGATCCAAGCTTTGCTCACTGGGGTATTTGAACCAAGGAGTAACATGAGCTGAGGCTACAGCAGTAATCCAGCAATGTGGAGAGAAAGGACTGGACCAAGAGGATGCCACTGGCAATAAAAGGCAGGAAAGGTCATGAGAGGCATTTGACAGGAAGAATCCAAAGGCCCTGAATACAGCTGAGGAAGGAGGGTGTTGGAAATCAAATTCAAGTGAGGATTAAAACCTGAATTCACATTTTGTGCAGTGGATTCTACTTCTAGAAATGTATCCTAAGGATATAGTCTCAGAAAATACATGTGCGAGAAAGTTTATTTTGGCATTGTTTGCAATGAGCATAAAGGTGGGAACAACCTAAATATTTGTTAGCAGATGAGCTATATTACAGTGCTCCCACACAACTGAATCCCGAACTGCCTTGGCAAAGCAACTGCAAATGTGCTATATATAAAGGAGTCCATGATGTAGTGTTTAATGCAGAAGAAATTTATAGAAGGGGTTGTGTAATATTACCTCATTTTTATTTTAAAAAGTATCCACACATCAAACACTATATTTCTTTGTACTTAAAAATATTTTTAAAATAAAACATAATGGTGATGAATGGGTGGATGAGTGGAAAGTCCATTGAAAGGGATATATATGTATATGTGTGTGTGTGTGTGTGTGTGTGTGTGTGTGTGTGTGTCTCACATGGGGAAGAGAAGGAAAGATAAAAGGATGGAAAATCACTTTCAACATTTTGAGTTTAAAGTGTCTATAGGAAAGGAATCCAAATAGAAGTGTCCAGTAAGCACCTGCGGCATTAAAAGTGAAGGGCTAATGAAAAGAAGAAGAATAATAATACCCCTATTTGGGGATGTCCTCCTAGAAAGCAGGCAGTGTGACACTGGTTTGAAAGTTCTAAAATAGAGAAAATATAGAGGAAGTAAAAGATCAAACCTCTGGGGTAGTGCTCAGGGAAGTAGCAATGAGTGACAAAACAATGAATTGGGGAGAAAACCTGTAGTAGGATGAGAACTGGAACAGCTAGGTGCACTGCAGTATCAGGGAAGAGCAAGTTTTGTGAATGAGAAAATGGTAAACAGCATAAAAGCAGGTGAAGTAGGCTGGGCGCGGTGGCTCACAACTGTAATCCCAGCACTTTGGGAGGCCGAGATGGGAGGATTGCCTGAGCTCAGGAGTTCGAGACCAGCCTGGGCAACATGGTGAAACCCCCGTCTCTACTAAAATACGAAAAATCAGCCAGGCATGGCGGCATGCACCTGTGGTCCCCGCTACTCAGGAGGCTGAGGCAGGAGAATTGCTTGAACCCGGGAGGTGAAGTTTTCAGTGAGCCAAGATTGCGCCACTGCACTCCAGCCTGGGAGAGAGCAAGACTCCATCTCAAAAACAAAACAAAACAAAAAACAAAAGGAGGTGAAGGAAGGAAGGAAGGGAAGAGGGAAGGAAGGAGAGGGAGGAAGGGAAGAGAGGAGATTTGTTAGTAGGAACATCACTGATGATTCTCAAGGTAGCAATTTTAGCCACCCACAGTGGGGAAAGTCCAGAAGAGGAACTGAATGAGGGATCGTCTGATGATGAAATGGAGGTAATGGGTATAAACGTGGTTCTTAACCCTAGCCTGACATTTTTATCAACTGAAAAACTTTTAACAACTACTGTGATCCAGGCCTCCCTCAGACTAACGGAATTGGAATCTGTCAAGCTGGGGGCTGGGCATCGAGTCTTTTTAAACTCTTCAGGTGCTACCATTGTGCAACTGGGGCTGAAAATTAATACAGAGACAAGGAAGTGACAGCAAATGGAAAGGGAGAAAGGGAGTAAAGACATAAAGGATGACACCAAGTTATGTTGAAAGGGACCAACATGCAGAGGAGCATTTTGAACACAGAACAGAGGAACCAGCGGACAGGAGGCATTGAAGATAATGGGACCGGCAGAAAGCTGACCATGGTGACTTTCTGTCACTGGACCTATAGCTTACAGATGCCTTGGGTTAGAAAAATCTGTTCCTGTAAATGCCCGAGTCTTGAAAATCGTTTAAAATGGAAAAGCTATAATGATCAGGGCTGGATATTATTATTATGGTAATTATAGGGATAATGTGAATGTTAGTATTTTACAAAATTAGATGCTTTACAAATCTTAAATATTTTAGCATTCTCAAGTATTTAAGTGGTTTTACTATAAAGTTCAATTAACATAGAGGGTAAGTTTAAAACCCAGAGTAAGAACATTATTCATGACTATGCTTTGTTTGAATGAGAAAAAATAATTCATTTATTGGCATGTTTTTCTGTTTTTGTTTTAAGTTTGGTTTTGGTTTTAATAAATAGTAAATATTGTTACCTTCATCTGTGAATGTGCTAATCCCATGAGGGTTAAATGAAGATACATCAAATTTACTTCCAGTGATCCCCAATTCCAACACTGTTGGATCTTCTTCATTCAGGTCCATCAGAAGTATTTTTCCAGGACTGTTGGGGTTGAAGCTCTTTATTCCAGGATACTTTAATCCCTTATAAACCATGGAGGAGAAAAATCAAGCACAATACCAGTACTTCAAATGCTAATAGAGGCGCTGCATGGCCCATGGGTTCATGTTGACTGCTCCAAACCACAGGGCTAGCCAGATGGCCACATAGGAAGCCTCTTAGTTAGCTTCTGTAATGGGTCCCCAGGAGAAGTCTTCTGGAAGCCACATGCTCCACTAGGCCACCCCACACAAACCCTTTCATCCCCTGCAGCAAAGTCATATGTGCACGACACTACAGCTTCCAGCCCATGAGAAAGATCAAAAATGGAAGAGCAGACCAAAAAGGCAATTAATAATAGTCTTCAATGATATAAGCAAGGAATACAGAGAGAATATTGCTTATGGCTTTTAAACTGTTCCCTGGTAGGTCCTTGGAAGCATCTCAAAGACAGAGTTTTGGTGGGCCAGAGGAACTACTCCTTTCTTAGCCTTCAATCAAAACAATAAAGCTGTTGTTTTATATATTGTGTTCCCATATAAGATTTTGCTTGAAATACACCTTATGTTGCTCAAGAAAGTTTGCAAGACATTGCTTTGCAGGATGACTAGTCTATCATCTTTGTAAGAGAAAACTGGACTAAGTAAATTACAAGGGGTAGCAAAGGTTTTTAAATGGCTGGATGATTGTCTGTCGTTTCCTATCAACTCTGTTATGTTATGATCCCTAGGCCAGATGGTGGACTTCTTTTGTTTTGCACTATATCAGCTACCATAGCGATCTATATGCAGGACAGTTTCAGCAAATATGGTGGATTCTGTCTTCAAAGCTTGGGAATTGGGAATTGGGACCTATCAACAATTTTAAATTAAAGGGCTTATTCTGAAATTTGTTTAAAAATGTGAAAGTTGAAATGACCTGTGAAGTAGTATACATTAAATGTATATTTAATTTAGCAAATATTTGAATATGGCAATTTTAAGTGCTTAGGGAATAGACAATTGAGAGGAAAACAATTCTTGAATACACTGAACTCACAAAAAAATTGCTGCAATAGAAGCTAACGTAATATGGTTCAATGTAGACCGAAGAACACAAATATGCATAGAACACGCATGATCATAATTATAGCACAAGTGTAAATGCATACACAATTTGTCTTTTAAACCATGACTGTTCATTTTATTTGAAAGTGGGCATGGGTATACAGAAAGCCTAAGTGAAAGACTTAAACTGCCAGTCCTAGAAAACGTTCTAGAACACAGAAAAGTGAAAGAAAACACTCACAGAGCTAATGAAAGCCAGTCCATTAGGCAGTATCTCCAAGTCTTCAGAGCCAGTTTCTGCCAGAAAAGAGAACAGAAAGTACAGGTTGTTTCATATTATTGCAGGATGTGGATCCATTTCTTTATCACACCTCACTTGAAACTGGGGCTATACATCACTCTTCTTTAATAGGTTCAGAATAATTCATTCTTTCATTTATTCAAATTGATGAATGCGATTATATGGAAATTAAAAATATATTAATTCATTAACAAGTTTAATTAAAATTTACACTTAGTATATTTGTTTTAAATTGATGGACTAGAGCTTTTTCCTCAAAGACTGAATCCTCTTAAAGTTCATGGAAATTCACAAAACGTACAAAAGCCATGATTATTTGAAAAGAACTTGTTTTCTAAAGATACAAGGTAAATTACAAATATATGTTGATACTTAATACTTCCAAATCAATTAAACCCTTGGAAAGCCATATTGAAGATATAAGCAAATTCCAAATAGTTGAGTTAAAATGGGGATACATTTTAGGTGATCAAGAATATGAATTTTTACTACTAATTATAAACATCGGTTAAATATTACTGTCTTCAAGTTAGTTATACTTTAAGTACATGTAAATTTTTAACATTTCAATTTATCTAGAGAAAAATGAACTATTTGATAGGTATTTCTACACTTAGTGGAAAGTTTGCTTTTCAAAAACCCAGTGATATTTGATATCAATATCATATTTTTCTAGAAAACAATCGCACCATAAGATATCTAGTGAAATTTAGTGGTACTAAGTCATCTGATCTAGCCTCCTGAGCCTTAATCAACTGAGATGAATAATTCTAAAAGAACAAAAAAAAAAAAAAAAAAAAGAAAGAAAAAGAAACACCCAAAGCACACAAAAGCATGATCTCAAACCAATTGTCTTCAAATAACAAAGCTGGTTGGTTGGAACCAGCTGGAGAGTTGAGCCCGGGGACTCTCCTTGTTGGTTGCCTCCCAGCTGCTATTCTCCTACCGTTTTATCTTTGCTGACAGGGCCTGCCTCCCACATTGGAGGCTTGATAATTACTTTCCCAGCATCCTTTGCAACTAGGGCACCAGCCTGTCCTCCAGCTCTGACAAATAAGATCTAAGGGGAAATCTGCTGAGAGCTTCTGGAAAAAATTTTCCTGTCCAATATCAAAAGAGAGATGCATAAGGAGAAGCCTTGTGGTAATTGCAAAGTCCTGTCAGAGCCTTTCTAAAAAAAAGTTACCTTTATTCAATGCTTTATCTGGCTCTCCCTCCCCTCTTCTGCCATCTCCTCAGGTTAGATTGCCATGGAATCAAACATTATTCTATTTTTCTTTTTTCTTTTTTTCTTTTTTTTTTTTTTGCTCTATTGATCAAACAAAAACAAACAACCAAAACTCCCAACACCTTGGCAGTATGTTGGTGAAGTCAAAAGTCAAACAACATGGTATTTATCATTAACTACCACTGACTCTCCTGATTCAAAATTTTATTTTTGGACAGAATTGAACAGGCACATTAATCACACAAAGAGCAAAAAAATACCGGAAGTTCAAATGAGACCCTTCTTCCTCTCACATACATACCGATTCCTTTAACTAAATTACAGTTAGGAAGTTCTACGGGTTGTACCTCTCGGAGAGCATTAAGTCGTGTTCTGTGGGGGAGAAAGAAATAAAACACACACAAAACTATTCAGAAATTATAATAAGTTGCAAAGGTAGGCAGTCCACAAAAGTTCTCCTTCACTGTACTTTGCCTGAGTTTCAACTCCAGAGTTTTTCCTGCAATTTTTCCAGGCAAGGCCAGGGCAAGACAAGTGGGGAACTCTGGGTACAATATTTAGTTTTTATTTAGCAGAGGTGGATAGGTACACATAAGAGATACATAATATCCTCTCTAGGGCTCTGTGTACTTTGGCAGGAACAGGAGCAATTTCATCAGTGTGTAAGGACTCCTAGGTGGAAAGTCCGGGTAAATGGCAACATGGTTCCAGTTTATTCCATTGATGTTTTAGAGTTGCTGACAGATGGGCAGCCTCCTACTCATCTGCCCAATCTGACTCCGCAGCCTGGACTGGGCATCTGCTTTGTGATGTAGTGCTTGAAAAATACAGGTACGTTGAAAGGATTTGTAACTTCAGAAAATCATACACAAGGCCTGCATGTAAAAAGGCATTTCACACACACAGGTGCACTCACACACATACACAGGAGCGACTTATTAGATATGAGTGCATAAACACCATAGAAAATGTCTGAGTAAAGGACAAAGGAAAAATGAACAGATGTGAGAAGGAAGTGCCAGCCGGCTGCCTGAGCAGAGCGAAGCTACTGATGCTGCATTTGAAAGAAACAGACGACGTTAGCACAACCAAGAGATTTAAACAATAAACTTTTTTTTTTTTTTTTAGAGAACTAGTGATACAGTATTGTCATAGCAAGTAGTGACAATTATCCAAATATCCCTAGAAATCTTATTTGGCTTCAGATAGGCTAAGAAATTTACTTGTCCTCCTGATGACTTGAACTCACAGGAGGCGGATGGGCTACAGGCGGAACAGACACGCTAGATAAAATTCTTACCGACGTGGTACAAAATGATAGGAATTTGGGGGTGATTGATCTTTCATTTATTCATTCAGAAAAAAATGAGTACATTCCTACCATCAGGCCACTGGCTATCATTTTCGCTGTCTAAAAAAATCTGACGTAAGAGGCAAGGAGTGCCTCTTAATAATCTGCTTTGTAAAAGTGCCACAGTTTGTCCCAACGTATAACCAGAGTAAAGAGCCACCAGTCTAGGTACTAGAAATACAGAGATGAATGAATAGATGATGAAGGCTTGGACTGTGAGGAGACTGTGGTTTCCTGATTGATAGATGTGAACTTAGAAAGCAGGCTTCAAAGGAAAGTTGGAATCTGTCCCATAACCTAAGAAAGGGAAAGGTATTTTCAAAATGAAAATCTGACATTATAATTGCAAATATTGACAATAAGGAAATAAAAGGGGAAGTGATAAAGCAGTGGCTTACAAACTTTTCAGACAGAGACTCACAGTAGGAAAAGTATTTTATATGGTGCGAACACCCAGCACATGCACACACATACACATACACATCTGAATCAAGCTTCACAAAACAATACTCATCCTAATCTGTGTCATACATTCATAACTTTTCTGTTCAATTCTGTTTTATTTATTTTTAAATGTTGGTAATTATTTACTAAATTGACTTTGTTACCCACCATTTGAAAAAACTCTGGTCTAGGGAAAGTGTAGTGAATATTTGTAGCATGCCCTCAAGGAACCAAAGGGCAGGTACAAGATGTTAAGGGTGATGGTCATAACCGAGGACAACACAAAGACTGGCATGGAAGGAGAGATTCAAGGACATAAAATCACTGAATGGGCCAAGACTTGTGAAAAACACCAAGGATAGTCAAATTCACTTTTCTTAGACTCAAAACCAATGGGAAGAATACTCATGCTGCCTGACTCACAAGGGTCACTAAACATATGGGTTCACAAAAGATGGAGAAAGGCAGAACTGGTCAGCTCCTATTCTAATTCAGGCTTCTCTCTCATAGAAGATGATCTCTAGCCTGGAAAACATAGAATAATCACAGTTAAAGGGAGCCCAGGGTGGGCAAGGGGGCATTAAGTCAGCACTTGTTGATTTGGGTTCCAATTTGTGGCCCAAACATGTCATATCTCAACAGGATAATCATTACTACTATAGTTCAGGTACCGTATATGCCCGCGTTTAATCCTCAAACACCTCCGTGAGGTGTTATTTTCCCTAAGTTATAGTTGACCAAGATTAAGTGGCTTTCTAAGGCCACAGAGTTATAAAGTGGCTGAGCAGGGATTGGAATTCAAGTATGAACACAAAGCTCACATTTAGCTCTCTGACCAGGCAAAATCTACAGAGAACACTGCTTAAAAGCTGGAAGATGCACCTGAAAATTGACCCACCTGTGTTATTATCATCCAACTCATATTTTTTCTACCTCATTTTCAATTTATTAGGAAATATCTTGTCAAAGGCTTAAGTCCAAATGTTCTGGGCCTAAGAGATAAGGGTCAATGTCTGAGATATATCTCTGATTCACTAGACTCTGAACTCTGCGCAGAAACCATACAGCCTTTGCTGTGAACTTGTCTGAGTCTGCTTTGTGTCACTCTAAAGGAACATCTGAGGCTAAGCAACTGATAAAGAAAAAAGGTTTATTTGGCTTATGATTCTGGATGGTTAGAAAGTTCAGGATTGGGTATCTGCATCTGGTGAGGGGCTCTGGCTGCTTCCACTCATTGCAGAAGATGAAGAGAAGCCAGTACTCACAGAGATCATGGGATGAGAGAGAATGTAAGAGAGGGGAGAGGTACCAGGCTCTTTTCAATCAACCAGCTCTCTCGAAATGAATAGAGTGAGAATTCACTCACTCCCAAGGAGGTCATTAATCTATTCATGAGGGATCCATCTTCATGACCCAAACACCTCCCATTGGGCCCCACCTCCAACATTAGAGATCAAATACGAGGTTTGGAGAGGACGAACATCCAAACCAAGGCAGAAGTATTCGGTGAAAATACATGCTGGCTGCTCGCAGAAAAAAGCAGAGATCTTTGCCTAGGCATTAAGAAATCCGTATCGATTCTCAAACTCTTCTTGGGGCCAAATTCACTCTAATCAGTCTATTTTCTGCTACTACACACGCCTCATTCATTCAAATTGCTTTTCATGGCCTACTATGTGCCAAGCTCCAATAAGGGCTCTCACACATACTTCCTCATTTAATCTTTTTAGCCACCTTTGAGAAAAAGATGAATATTTACCCTGTTTTGTAGGTAAGGAAATGGAGGCACTGAGAGGCTGAGTAAATTGCATGTGGTTGCTTATTTAAGAGGGTAGAGTTGGGATTTGAAATCAAGTGTCATGATACTAAGGACTCTTCCCTGTATTTCTTTCATACCTCTTTTTATTTGCTCACACTTTTCCCTTCACCTAGAATGCTCTTTAGCCCATTACCCACTGGAAAGACCCCTACTCATGATGCTTTGTAGCTTCTCCAGTCTTCTGCATTGGGATTAATAACTCCTTAGTTTACCCTCAGGAACCTTCACATATACATCTGTCAACTTTCTTACCATAGTTGTCATAGTTGTCAGTTTCACAGCTGTCAGTTTTTGTTCTTTTGCTCCCAGTAGACTTTAAAATTGGTGAGTGAATACTGCAACCTATTCATTCCTATAACCTCCAGCAGAAACACAACGTTTGCAAAGAGAAGGTACTCTGCAGATGTCCACTGAAGTGTTTTGTGGAGATACTAGGCAAGTACATCAGACTGAGAAGATGGTGTTGGTTGCATTCATAGGGGAGACTGGAGGGTTGGAGGATTATTTGTCCTTATCTCAGACTTTCAATGAAGTATGATTATAATACATATTCAAGTATCACTCTATATTTTTGAGATCACATATGACAGCTATAAAAGCTAACGTTTACAGGACATCTGCTATATGCCTGATTTTTATATATATATATATACTTAGTTTTATTTATATGTTTTATATAAATATAAATATATGTATGTGTGTGTGTGTGTGTGTGTATATATATATATATATGCTGTAATATGTATTATTATCCCCTAATTTTCGGGTGGAGAAACTGGCTGGAACTTTTCTGGAATAAAGTGGTAAAATAACTTGAAAGTTGCAGAAATGATATCTAACCCAGGTCATCAGGAATCCACAACTACTCTCTTCCCACAACTGTGTGTTGCCTACAGTAAGCATGGAATGGCAGAAATGCATCGAGAGGCCCAACGTTAGCTTTGTGGTTTCCTTCTGAGAAGGGAAACTCAGTGGACTCACGTATTGCAATTAGCAATGTAGGGACAAGGAAGTTGCCATACAGATGCTGCAACATTCCATAGCCCAAGTTGGGGTAGGGGAGGGGAGCTGTTTCTACCATCATCCAAGGCATTCCCTGGACTTGTGCGGCACATACAGCCGACTACAAAGGTGGGAGACTCGTGGGTGGGAGACTCGTGGTCTAGGGGAACTCTCTCAGTTCTTTTCTCTGTACTGCTCCCACCTGGGAAACTCAGAAATCTCTTGAGGCATCCCTTGTGTGCTTCCTTAAGTTCCCTCCAGCCCAGGCATATATAGCTTCCTGTGAGCCGCACACACATACACTCCAAGTCTGAAGAAAAAAGGATGCATCTATCCTGGGGATTTGGCTTGCTCCTGATGCAGGCCTCATGATATCATCTCTTGCCTTCTCTCCCTGGGGCAGATTCATGATCTCTAATCCCCCAGGGAGTTTGTTCCATGACGCTGGTTCTGATTCAATAGTGTGGGGTAGGGCTTGAGATTCTGCCTGTACAGGGAGCCCCTAGGTGATGCTCAGGCATCTGGTCCCCAGACCCAGTTGAGTAGCTAGGTTTTAGGGGTTTCCAACAGTGGGTAAAATTTCCCTTCCTTCCTCTGTCTGGGTCACTCCAGGAGGCTCAGCAACCCATCCTTTATCTATATATTTTTATCTATACCTATAATCTCCTTTGGCAGCCACCAGCACTGTGATTAATAAAAACTCACAAACTGTAATTTTTACATGATTTAAAAGCCAAGAATACCAACTGCTTCTTACTTTTTTTCTGCACTCTGTAACTTAAAAAAATTAGAAAAACATCCACAATAAATAGTAAAAACCCATTCTGAATGTAAGCTTCTAATTAGTCCATAAGCTCATATAATTTTTTTATATTTAATTTTTATTAGGTTTTACTTTAAAGTAAATAAGGCATTGTTGACTAAGCCTTAGAGACTAGGATGATCTGTAGACTTTGAACTCCTGTTAAAAGTTATGAAACTTTTGATACATTCTTAAAATATCCCCACCCCCCTTGTATAGCACTTAACCCTTTATTAAATACTTTAAAGGGAAGCAGGGAACTAACATTTATTGAATAGCTACTCTGTCGCAGGCAGTGTGTATTACTATTTCCAGTTTACTGAAGCAGCTAAGGTTAGAGATGTAAAGTGATTTGCCCAAATCGCATACTCATGGGGCAGAGCTAAACCCCAGGACATCAGATGCTGGCTCCAGGGTTCCCTCTTCCCCGCCTGCCCCCACTGAAGCGAACCATCACAGCACACGTTAGCTCCACCTGCTCGGGTCCACACGCAGTTTTGCTGTGGCCCTCAGTAGCCTCAATTTGAGAATCTTCAAGCCTGGAAGGTTTGCCATGGCCAGGCAGTCAAGGCGCAGAAGCGACAGGGGCTCCTTTCTCTAATACACAAAATATCAGGAGAACCCCCAGCCAGGTTAGTTTGTTTCTTTCCAGGTTGAGAAGTGAATCTGTAGCCAGGGCACACAAATCTTCATGAAAAATTAATTCGTGTATGCTGACAACCTGGGCACTCACACCCCTGGCAATTGCCTCCTTATCCCATGTCTCAGGCCATGAGCAAGAGTTTGTTTTCAAGTGACACATGACGGCTGGACAAACATTTATGAAACCCCCGCAGAGTGTGCATCTAGCACCTGCTTGTAAATGTTCTGTTAACAGCCTGGACCCAACTTTCTGGGGGCTCGTGGAGCTGGCAGGGAGTGAGGAGGACGAAGGCTGCAGCCCTCACCACAACCCAACTTACTGGTAAGAAGACTGGTGGTTCCTGAAGAGTGCCAGTCCCATCCCCAAGAGGGTGAGCGCAATCAGCTTCGCCATGGTCGGGGATAGACAAAGGGATCGATGGGCGCAGACACCGACGGGCTAGGAGGCTCTGCCTGCCTGCAGCCGCAGCCCTGCTGGGGCAGCGCCGATTGGCCCGCCCCGCCCCTCCCCGCCGGGTCGGCAGCTAGCTGGGCCGACCAGGTGCACAGAAGGCGTGGCTTGCGGTCAGCCCCCACCGCAGGAGCTCAGCACTTTCAGCCAAAAGTCCCATTTTGCTCCTTCCAACTGTAAAGAGAGAAGACAGAGAATAGGTGCCTAGTCCAGTCGGGGAGGGGAAATCAAACAAGCTGAAGTAAATTGCCATGGGAAAGGACAGTCAAGCTTTGGTGAGCACTCACTTTGTGCCATCCCGGTCCTTGCGTCTCAGAGAGATTCAGTAGCTTGATCATGGTGACAGCCAAAAAGGTGCGGAAGGGAGGGCTGTAGTAGGAACCCCTAAGATCTAACTGTTCTCACCAGGCTACTACTCTGTGTCACCTTCCAACATCTGGATTTCAAGCATTTTTCTCTCAACACCACTCTGACTTTAGAGTTCACTCAAGTACATCCCCCACACAGCTCATTCATTTCCTCATGCAGCTGGCATTTATTGAGTACCTACTATGTGCCAGGCGCTGTTCTAGATGCTACAGAACAGGACAAAACGTCTTCCTCAAGCTTACGTTCATTCCAATGGGGGGAGTCAATTGAGAAATCAGCAAAACATGTCACTGTGGCATATATAATGCTCTAGGTGATGCATGTGTGTGTTATGGATATGCACATATGTTATGGAGAAAACACATAAAGCAAGAAAGGGGATAAGGAATACCCTCTGCTGAAGAATAGCAGTCAGAGAAGTTCTCACTGATAATGGGGCATTTGAGTAAAGACCCAAAGGAGGTGCCTCTGTACAACCATGTCTCTCTTCTCTGCTGTCTGCTGTTACTGTGAATGATTTGCTCCATGTCTCTTTCCTTCTCAAGGCTTTTGGTCCCAGTTATACCTTCTCTCTTCTGCAATATCTGTCCTTTCATCTCTTGTGGAATATTGCCAGCCAATACCAACATGCTTTACTTATCACCTTTAGCTTTCTGGGGGGAAGCTTCTTTGGCCTCACATTGTAACTACTGCCCTCTCTCTCTGCTCCTTCTGAACACTTGCTCTTAAGCCTTGAGCTACTATGTAAAAAACCTGACCACTCCACTGGAGCATTCACATGAAAGGCCATGAACATATGGAGAGGGAAAGTGGTCAGCTGAAGCCAACCTCTTAACCATCGGCACCAAGGAAGCAGAAATGAATGAAGTGGGCTATTAGACAAGCCCAGCCACCACAGCCTGGCCACCAACTGAATACCACTGGCTAAGCCACCCTGGTTAACACCAGGTGGAGCAGAAGAATCTACCTAAGAAGTAGAACCAATGAATCCAAAAGAGAAGAGTATTCGAAAAGAGGGGGAATGATGATCTGTGTCCAATGTGGCTATGAGTTGAGTATGCTTATGGCAGAGAAGTAACTACTGAATTAGATAACATGGATACAATAGGTGGTTTAATAAGAACAAATTCTACACGAGTCAAAAGAACACAAACCATATTAGAATGGGTTAAGGTGAGAATGGAAGATTGGAGATATTTCACAAGGTTAGCTGCTAAACCAAACAATCATTTTCTTATGCTCATAAACAGTGCATAAGGAATTTGGGCAGGGCCCAGCAGGCTACCTGGTTGACATGCCCACTGGGGTGTTTAACAGTCTTTTCAAAATGTGTCCAAAGGAAAACTCTTAATCCCCCCTGCCCAAACTCACACTTCAATAAATGGCATCACTACCATCCAGTTGCTCAAGTCCAAAATCTACATATCTTCTTTCATCCATCTCTTTTCCTCACACCCTCTTGCACCAAACAGATCAGTCAGTCCTATAGGCTCTATTTTGTATTAGTTATCGTATGCTGCATAACAAATTATACTAAAGTCTCACCATTAAAAACAACAAACATTTATTATCTCATCATTTCTGTGGGTCAGGAATTCAGGCATGGCACAGCTAGATACCTCTGGCTCAAGGTCTCTCATGAGTTAGCAGCTGAGCTGTCAGTGTGAATTGCCATCTTATCTGAAGGCTCAACTGGAGTGGGTGAAGGAGGTGAGATCAGCCTCCAAGATTACTCACACAGCTCTTTAGAGACTTCAGTCCCTTGATACTTCAGTCCCTTGATACGTGGGCCTCTCTACAGAACTACAACAGAACAAGGTAGCTGACTTTCACTAGAATGAGCAATCTGAAAGAGTGAGATAGCATGCCTCCAAAATGGATGCCACAATCTTTTATTAACCTAACTTCTGAAATGACATCCCCTAACTTCTGTCATATTCTGTTTGTTAGATGCAAACTGCTAACTCCAGTTTACATTCAAGGTGAGAAGAATTAAACTTCACCTTTTGAGGCTCCCCTTCATATGCCTTGAGGCATATTGATATGGTTTGGATGTTTGTCCCCTCCAAATCTCATGCTGAAATGTGATCCCCAATGGTGGAGGTGGGACAGGGTAGGAGGTGTTGGGTCATGGTGGCAGATCCCTCTGAATTGTCTTGGTGCCATCCTCATGGTAATGAGTGAGTTCTCTTGCTCTGAGTTCACGTGAGATTTGGTTGTTTAAAAGACTATAGCACCTCCCCCCACCCCCACTCCCTCTCTTGCCATGTGACATGCTAGTGATGCCCATCACCTTCCCCCATGATTTTAAGCTTCCTGAGGTCCTCACCAGAACCTGAGCAGATGTTGACACCATGCTTCCTGTACAGCCTACAGAACCATGAACCAATTAAAACTTTTTTTATATAAATTACCCAGCCTCAGGTGTTTATAGCAGTGCAAAAATGCCTAGCCCACATATCAAAGAATGTATAGATAGCTCTTTGAAACCACTACAACTTTCAAATAATCTTGAATCAACCCAATTTTCCCCATTTCCACTGCCATTACTCTGGTTCAGGCTGCTATCATCTCCAGGCTAGAACAGATTCTCCATTGTTCTCTCCCTAATCACCCTCCCCACAAATCCATTCTTCTTACCAAGGCCCACGTAATCCTTTAAAAATGTAAATCAGATTATATCATTTCCATGCTTAAAATCCTCCCTCTTGTGGCTTCTCATTTTATTTTCTTATTGTGGCCTGAAAGGCCCCACAAGATCTGGGCTGTGCTTATCATCTGACCTAATTTCTTATAATTCACTCAGCATAACGTTGCAGCAACATTAGCTTTTGTACCATTCGGTACACACACCAAGTTTATTGCACTTCACCATCATTGTCTTTGCTATTCTTTGGCTAGAATCCTCTTCCCATCCCCCTGACTTAACTTCCCAACTACCCCTTGCATTTCTCTTTCTCTTCATTCAGGTCATAGCTTAAATGTCACTTCTTCTGAGAGGCCTTTCCCAATATTACCATCTAGAGTAGACTTCCTCCACACCCTCTTCTCCTGAACCCTCTCTCTGCACCAGTTACTAAGACCTCAGTGCTGATATCAAATGGTTAGCACCAGTACAGAATTACTGGTTATTAGAATAATGACATATTTCTACAGTGGTTGTTAAATAACCACTTCCTCAGACCCTCCAAGAGGTCCTCCACAATACTGACCATTCTCTCTTCCCTGGAATCCTCCCTCACTTTACCATGATCTAGCAACCAAGGTATTATTTCCTGGCACAGTAGGGTCTCTAGGATTCTTCTCCCAAATAGTGTTTTGTTCAGCTGGGACTGAACTGACTGATTGAGGCTGTGCCATACCTGGTGTTAAGGACTCTATCACCACTGTCTTCACAGCACTCCATAGGAAATCATCTTCCTACTTAATGCCACCTGCCTTCCCCTACTAGCATGTAAACTTTTAGAGGTCACAGACCTTAACTTGCTAACTACCTTCTCTCTAACTCCTAGAACAGTTTCTGGCACATAGTAAATGCTCAAATATTTGTAAAGGGAAGGAAAGTACAAATGAATGGCAAGGGGTTGGGGATAAAGGAGGCAGGAGGAGCAGGGATTGAAAGATGGTTTGGGAGTAGACTAGAGATGCCACTCTCTCCTTTTCTGACCCAGTTGTCCTATGGGCCTTAAAGAACCCAAGTGGTCTTTCTTGCACAAAAATCCATGGTATTTGTTTGAAGTCACTGACTATTTGTTCTCTTTGTTCTCTTTTACCTCTTTTCACAACCAATCTTGTCCTCCTTCCTTCCCTTAACCTACTTATCTCTTTCAAATCCAAGAGCAAAGGTTTCCCATGTCAATGCACACTTTGAAATGGTCTGCTTTTTCTGGAGCTCTTGCTCTGGGCTTTTGTTTTCATTTGCTCTTTTGCCTGAAACACTGTCTTTCCATAAGCTTTTTATTCCCCATTTTAAAATACAAACGTCTTTATTGAGATATAATTTATATACAATAAACTGCACACATTTATAATATATAAATATAATTATATGTGTTTATAATTCAATATATGTCATTATATATAAATCAATAAGTTTTGGCATATATATTCACCCATGAAAACATCACAGGCATCAAGGTAATAAATATATCCTTTGCCTCCAAATTTCTTCATGCCTATTTGCAATCCCTCTCATACCTACGTCCACCCCACTTCCCTACAGATGTATTAGTTATCTACCATCATGTAACAAACAAGCCTGAAATGTGTCAGCTTATAACAACAAACACTTATCACCTCTCACTTTCTGTGGGCCAGGAGTATGACTACAACTTACCTGGTGCCTCTGCCTCAGGGTCTTTCCCAAGGTCGTAGCCCAGGCATTGGCCAGGACTGTGATCTCATTTTAACAAGCCAGATGGAAGTCACCATCTCTTTGTAACCTAATTTTCAAAGTGACATATCATTTTTTCCATGTTGTATTCATTCTGTTCTCTCAAGGTGAAGGAATTACACGAGGGTATGAATACTAGTCCCCATTCTTAACATGATCAAATCCTACCTGCTCCTTCAGGCACCTGTTTGCAATTTATTTCTACTAGTTTTTCCTGATGTCTAAATCTTGGATACCATTCTCATATGTCTCATTGCACCATGCTGCTTCTTTATTATTCCTGCCACTCTGTATTGTTAATACTTTATCACGGTACTGTTTTTCTCACTAGACCAGAAGCCTGTATAAAAATGCCTTGCTTGTTGTTATAGCTCTAACGCCTGGTACAGCACCTAACAAAATCTAGGTGCTCAATAAATATTGTTGAATACATGAATGAATGAATGAATGTTTAAAAGTTATTACAGAATCCTCTGGAATACTTTAATGTTCCATATTTTATTTACTGTAATGCCATCAGTGTTAAATACATAACTATCTATTATTCTTTTATTTTATGTACTACTAAAAAAGAAAAACTATAATTAATCTACAACACAATTCTAAGAAACTATTAATTATACAATAATTTCCTATTTCACACATGTTAAAATGTGCAGACAAGAGTATGAGTCCATGCTATGTGAAGATTTTAAATGTTATGAGAAGTTATGAAGGTGTTTTAAACTTAGAATTTTTTTATCACCAGAAATGTATAACCAAACATTTAAAAAGCAAACTTCTTTAAAAACTCAGATCTCACCTTGACTATTAGAATCCCTTTCCTTTCCTCCCTTGATCCTCATGTGCTAAGTATTTATTTGCACATGTTCAAATACTTCTTCCTAAATATATTTGGTAACAATCACATCAACCCATTCTTTTATTTTCCCACAAAAAGCCTAATTCACGGAGTAGTCAGTAAAAACTGTCAATGAATTGGTAGAAAGCCAGAGCCAAGTTTGCCAAGCTTAATTTTGTAGAAGTGCAAAAGGATTGATTGGGTAACTATACCACTTGGTGTTGTTCATCTGCAGAGGATGCTGAGCCCTGTTGGCAGTTGTTGCAATGTTCTCAAGTTTCTGAAAGTGTGAAATTCCAATGTTCTAAGAATGCCAATAATACCATTCTGCATGAGGCAGCTATAGTAAAGCTGGAAGAAAAAAAAACCCAAAAACCCTGGGCTTTAAATACTAAATTCATGGTCACTTCCTGAAAATTCTATAGTAGCAGAAATAACATCTGTAAAATGGAGATAATTCCTGTGGGTTTGCTGTATTAAATTTTTAAAAACCTGTGAAAGCACTATGCAGATATAAAGCAATGGCAGTGCAAAGTACAAGGTACTATCCAAGTCTGGAAGTTAGTTTACAAAATGCTTTTACCTTACATTCTCTCACAAGACCCTGGACAAGGAGATAGGATCAATACGATTATCCCCATTCATACAAAGTCATCCAATTAGGAAGTGTAGGAGCCCTAAGTTTGTATGTCTAGATATGGGCAAACCAAAACTGACGTGCACCTAAAAACAGAAACTGAAAGTACGAAAAGGGAAAGCTAACAGAACTATGTCACTTCACTTCAATTGTCTAAGCACACATCTCAAAAAGCTTAAAAATCCAAAGAAAGGAGAAGGATGGAAATGAAGATAAAATCAGCAATCAATGAAATAAAAAACAAACTTGAAGAGAGACTATCCATTGTATGAAGTGTCATTCAGTTATAAAAAAAGAATAAAGTCCTAATACATGCCACAACATAGATGCACCTTGAAATCATTATGCTAAGTGAAAGAAGCCAAACACAAAAGGCAGCATATTATAGGATTCCATTTACATGAAATAGCCAGAAAAGGCAAATCCATAAAGACAGAAAGCAGATTAGTAGTTGTCAGGAACTGCAGGGGAGAGGAGGATGGGGAATAACTACTTAATGCACATAGGTTTCCTTCTGAGATGGTGAAAAATATTCTGGCGCAAGATCATGGTGATGGTTGAACAATATTGTGAACATACTTAATGCCATTGAATTGTATGTCATTGAATGGTTAAATGATGAATTTTATACTATGTGAAATTTACTACAATAAAAACTTAGGACAAAACATTCAAAAGTTGATTATTGAAAAGACTAATGAAAGATATAAAACTGTGGTAAGACTGACAGAAAGAAAATGAGAAAGAAAACAAATTCTAAATGTGAGAAATAAAGAGGATATTACCGCAGATCCTAAATATGTAACAAAAGGATATTATGAACTACTTTATTCCACTAAATCTGCAAATTTAAATGAAAAGAATGAATTGCTAAATTTATCAAAGCATACACAAGCAGAAACATTTAATTGTAATATTTCTATATTCTTTAAATAAATGTAATCTATACTTTAAAATCCCCCTTAAAGAAATCTTTAGTCCCAGGTAGCTTCATAAGTGAATTATTCCAAACACTTAAGGAAGAAAAAATGCTAAATTTTACACTAACTTTTGGAGAATAAAAAAAGAAGAAATAACTCTCAAGTCTTTCACCAGGTGAATATAACCTTGATACTAAAACCTGACAATTAATTACAAAAAAGGGAAATTAAAATTACAGGCCAATCTTTATTATGAACATGGACATTAATATCTTAAAATATTAGTCAAGTAAGTCCACAATTATAAAAACATAATAATATCATAATCAAGTAAGGTTTATACACCATATGGGAGTTTGGCTTGAAGTTTTAAATCAACATATAATTAACAGAATAAAGGGGAAAAATGATGATCTCAATAGATGCAGAAAAAGTATTTTAAAAATCCAACACTCATTTACAATTAAAAACATTTTTAGTAAACTAGAAAGAGAATGCAAATTTCTTAATCAGGTGAAGAATATTTTGCCAAAGAGAAAAAGTTACAGCAATTTTCACACTCGATGAGAATTTGAAAGCTTTCCCTGGTGATTGAGAAAGGAACAAAGACATTTGTGATTATCCCTTATGCCCAATATTAAACTAAAGGTAAGAAAAAGAAAGAGGAGATGTCAAGGCTGGAAAAGAAGATCTAGAACACTCATTATTTACAGACAATGTGCTTGGTATGTAGATGATACGAAAGACTCTACAGATAAACTTTAAAATAAAAACATAAATTTACTAAGGTAGCTAGCTATAGAGTCAGTATACAGAATCATTTGTTCTTGTGTAGTAACAAACAATTAGAAAATGAAATTTTAAGAAGATACTATCTACAAGAGCATCAGAACTGCTAAACTCTTAGGATGTAACAGAAGATGTTCAAAATCTCTACACGAAAATCTACAACTTCACTAACAGAAACTAAACATTTAAAGAGACACATATACCAACTTCAGATCTTGGAAAGGTGGCAATTTAATGATGTACATTCTCCCCGCATTGATCTATAAGGAGCTCAATAAAATTCCAACACAAATCCTAGAAAGGTTTTGTACAAATTGGCAATCTGACTCTAAATTTAAGTGAAAATACGAAGAGTTAAGAATATCCATAAAAAATTTTGAGGAAGAACAAATTTGGGGGATTTTAATACCAAAAATCAAGGTTTATTATAAATCTATTATAATTAAAACGCTGTGATTTTGTTGAATGACTGACAAATAATCCAACGGAACAGAACAAAAAGTCCAGATATAGGCCAGGCGCGGTGGCTTACGCCTGTAATCCCAGCACTTTGGGAAGCTAAGGCGGGTGGATCACGAGGTCAGGAGTTAGAGACCAGCCTGGCCAACATGGTGAAACCCCATCTCTACTAAAAATACAAAAATTAGCTGGGCGTGGTGGTGGGCGCCTGTAATCTCAGCTACTCAGGAGGCTGAGGCCAGAGAATCGCCTGAAACCAGAAGGCAGAGGTTGCACTGAGCCGAGATCGTGCCACTGCACTCCAGCCTGTGCAACAAGAGTGAAACTCCATCTCAAAAAAAAAAAAAAAAAGGTCCAGATGTAGACCAACACATAAATGGTTACCTTATTTATGATAAAGTGCCACTGCAATGAGTGGGGAAAAGATTTTCTTTTCAATAAAATGATGCTGTATATATTGGATATACATATGGCCAAAATGAATCTTGATTCCTACTCACAGGACAACCAAAAGTATATTCTGGGTGGATGAAAAATCTAAATGTGAAAAATAACTATAAATATTTTATAAGATCACAAGGAAGCATATTTCATAATTTTGGGGTACATAAAGATTTTTAAAAGAGGATATTCAAAGCAACATTCATAAACAAAAATATTGATGTTAGATTTCATTAAAATTGCAGACTTTCTGTTCATCAACAGAAGTGATTAAGAAAAAGACTCTAAAAAATAGAATATATTTTCAATACATGTATGCACAAAGGATTCATACCTACAAATCAATAAGAAAAATAATGTCAACCTAATTTCTTAAATGAACAAAATGTTAAATATTCACTGCACAAACAAGGATTCCAACTGGCCAACAACCATAAGACAAAGTGTTCAACTCCATTAGTTATCTAAGAAATGCAAATAAAACCACAATGAGATATTCTTACATAACAATCCAAATAGTTAAAAGTTAAAGAAGGAAAACTAATATTATTAAGTGCTGGCAAAGAAATGAAGCAACTAGAACTCTCCAACATTATTCGTGAAGGAGTATGCTGCTACAACCACTTTGGAAAACTGCTTGACAGTACTTGCAAAAGCTGCACATATATGTGATTTATTAATCAGTAATTCCAATTCTATATAGTCAAAAGAAATGTTTACATACATGCATTAAAATACATTTTACAAGAAAATTCATTGCAGTTTATTCATAATGTACAAAAACTTGGATAAATATAAGTGTCTATCAATAGTGGAATGGATAAATTGTGAAATATTCATACAATGAAATACCACACACAGCAAATGAAAAAGAATGAACTACTGCAGCATGCTGCAACAGAGGCTGGTAACAGCAATGGTTTACTGTTTATGTTTAACATTTATTGCTCATGCTACTTGTCCATTGCAAGTTAGCTCTGGCTCTGCTTCTGATTATCACTAATCCAGGGTCCAGTCTGGCAGAGCAAGCTATATCTACAACATTACCAGTCTGGGGGCAAAGAGAAAAGAGACACAGTGAACTACAGTGGCTCTTAAAATTTCTATCTGAAAGTGATCTGTGTTACTTCTACCAGTATTTCATTGGCCAAACTAAGTCACATGGCCATTCCTGAGTTTAATAACACAGAGATGTATACTCAGCCCACTAAGAGTGGCACAGCAAGAAGAGAAATGGAATATATGGAAAACAGTTGTCCAGTGTACCACAAAGGCTGATAAAGTGAGTATCTGGCTCCTGTCTTGGGCAACTTAGATACATATTTGATGTCTGTCTGGTTCCCTAGAATGGGAGACAGAGGAATTCAGAAGCACATGATTTATTGACAGTGCCTGGTAGGAAAAGTCCTGGAAAGTAGTGAGTAAAGCAAGATAAAGATAGGGAAATGATCAAAATGTTTAAACCTATTAATAGTAGGGCACATCTGACTTTATTATTCCCAAAATTTCTATATAGATATTTACTTTCTCTCTCTATGAATACCAGTGGGCTTTTCTAGAATTCATTCATGAACAATTTACTTTCCATTTGCATTTTACCCACAGACAATCTTCAGATTCATGGCAGAAGCCAATTCTTTTTTTCTTTAGAGAAAATTGATAGCAGTCCACAGAATGCTCCATCTATACTTCATTTGATTTTACTTCTTGATAGAATCAATTACATTCTATGGTTTATGTGATTCACCAGTTAGCTGTCAGAAACCACAGAACTCCTCTGGTATGCAAAGCCTGGAGCTTGATGAACACAAGTATGTGATACCTATTCATTCACCATTTCCCAAAGTCATCCCTAAAGGACTGAGCTTTTTCTGATACATCTGTTAGACAGAATATGAAACTGAATATGTTAAAAATTTTCATTACATTCTCTGCTTCTGCTTAAGAACATTCCTCTTGGTTTCCCTCAGTTGGATGACTTGCCCTTGGCTGTGCTAATATGGTCATTTACATTTCTAGTGAATCACTCTTCTAGAAAATCTCATTGCACAATAAAAATGAACTTTGGCAAAAAGTAAATGATTTGTTTTCTTGCTGTAGACAAATTTCTGCTGTATTGTGACAATGAAACATGAACACATCAATAATACTTAGTGTGCACCTAGGTCTTACTTCTGTGATGTGTAGTGAGGACACTAAATCAGGACCTTCAAGCTCTTTTCCAGCATCCTTTTGGTGAAGTGTTGTTAAATATCGGCTCATACATTAGAATAATGTATGGAGTTTTTATAAAATACCAGTTCCTGAACCCCAACTGGGGGGTTGGACCTCACTCTTCTAGTGTGCATACCTGCCCTGCAGAGATAGAAACTAAAGGCTATATTCCTTCAACTGCCTTGAAGCCAGAGTATAGGATGTAATTTTGTATCTAAGTTAGCCAGGACTTGAGCAAAATTAAATTTAGAAATAACTGAGGAAAGAGGCAATATTGCAAGCATCTGTTTTGCAGGGAGGCCTGTGGCTGCAGGAGTGGCTCTGGAGCCTACAGTTCTTGTGGTTCCTTGAGCTCTGGATCTTAACTGTCACGGGTACAACTATCTACTCTGCCACCAATGATGCATAAGGTCCCCTACATCCCCGCCTCCTCATCAACACTTGGCAATATCAAGCCTTTTAATTCTTTGCTAGTCTAATAGGTATAAAGTAATTTAAAAGTGCTGCTTCAATTGGCACGTCTCTGATTACTAGGATTCTGAGCATCTTTCATGTGTGTCATTTTTCCCCCTCTTCTGTAAATTGCTTCTTCACACCATTTGTCTGTTATTCCTTGGGGTTATTATCCCCACTTCGTTATTTTTAAGAGTTCCTAATATAGTCTACTTACTAATACCTTGTCAGTTTATCTTTGCCATGGTGTTTTTCAAGGAGTGGAAATCCTTAATTTTGATGATTCAAATTCAATCAGGTTTTTTAGTCTTAGGGTTAATGCTTTTTAAATTTTGTTTCAGAAGTTCTTCCCTACCTTTAGGTCATAAAGATACTCTCCTTTATTGCCTTCTATTAACTAAGAGTTATCCTTCACCTTAAGATCTTTAACCCATCCAGAGTCCACCTTTCTTAGGTAGTTATCTAGAGATGTTGGATAAGATATAGTTTTGTTTCCTTAGAGTGAGACCATTCTCCCAATGCCATCTCCTAAACAAAACATCCTTTCCCTATTGACTGGTGCTGCTAACTTTATCTTATATTAATTCTGCATACATAAATATGTTGTTTTCTGAGATCTCTCTTCTGTTCAATTGGTCTATTTGTTTTTTCTTGCACAAATACTAAACTAATTTATTATTAGGCCTACCCTTGCCCTTTATTTTTTGAAGCTGACTTTGCTCTCTCATATCCATTAGAAAATTGTGACATACATCATATATACCTGAGAGTGTATAAAATACATATATCCTTCTATAGGACAGTTATAAAACAAACACCAATGTAAATCACCATCCAGGTTAAAATATAATATTACTAACAACCCAGAAGCCTCCCCTGTACCTTCCCTTGACAGCTTTCCCTGAAGCAACAAATGTCCTAACTCTTATGATAATCATCACCTTTCTGTTCTCTCTAGTTTAACCTCCTAGGTATGCATCTTCAAACAACATTGTTTGATTTTTATTTTGGAATTCCCCCACAACAAAATCATACTACATGAATTGCTTTTGTTTTCTTTAGCTCAACATTATTTGTAAAATGCATACATGTTGTTAGCATGTATCTCTAGTTGTGGGATAAATTGCTGTCCATATTTCATTGTATGAATCTACTATAATTTATTTATCCATTTCAATGTTTATAGACCTTTCATTGTTTTGACTTTTTAGTTTCTTTTAATATAAAGATATTTTATACTAATTCACTAACTTAATTTCCTCAATCATTATAGAATTATAATACATTCCAAGCTCTTTTCGAGTCAGTTTAAGGAACTGTAGTAGAATGTACTAACTGCCTACCAAAATCCTTCCGTTCTTGGCAAGAGGCTACCCAGCTGTATTAGTCCATTCTCACACTGCTATAAAGACATACCTGAGGCTGGGTGCCGTGGCTTACGTTTGTAATCCCAACACTTTGGGAAGCCAAGGTGGGTGGATCATCTGAAGTCAGGAGTTCAAGACTAGCCTGGCCAAAAGTGGTAAAACCCTGTCTCTACTAAATATACAAAAATTAGCCCAGTGTGGTGGTGTGCGCCTGTAATCCCAGCTACTCGGGAGGCTGAGGCAGGAGAATTGCTTGAACCCGGGAGGCGGAGGTTGCAGTGAGCTGAGATCACACCAGTGCACTCTAGTCTGGGGGACAGAGTGAGACTCTGTCTCTGTCTCAAAATGAATGAATGAATGAATGAATGAAAGGAAGGAAGGAAGGAAAAGAAAGCGAAAGAAAGGAAAGAAGGGAAAGAAAGGAAAGAAAAGAAAGAAAAGAAAGAAAAGAAAGAAAGACCCAAGACTGGGTAATTTATAAAGGGAAGAGGTTTAATTGACTCACAGTTCTGCATGGCTGGGGAAGCCTCAGGAAACTTACAATTATGGCAGAGGGGGAAGCAGGCACCTTCTTCACAAGGCAGCAGGAGAGAGTGTGAACAAGAGCAGGGAAAACTGCCTTATAAAACCATAAGATCTCATGAGAACTCACACACTATCACAAGAACAGCATGGGGGAACCTGCCCCCATGAGCCAATCACCTCCCACTGATCCTTTCCTTGACACTTGGGAATTATAGGGATTACAATTCAAGATGAGATTTGGGTGGGGACACAGCTAAACCATACCACCAGCTAAACTAAATTTTCCAGCTTCCTTCCAATTAGCTATAATTGTATAACTATTCTCTTATCAATAGAATGTCAGTGGAGGTAGTTTGTGCCATTTCCAAATTGGGCCCAAAGATATTTGACGTGTTTTCTCATCCTCTCTTTCTTCTTTCCATGGCTGGAATCTGATGTGAAGGTGAGCGAATTTTGATCAGGAAGCTAATGACAATGCCCCATAGAGTGTAAGCAACTCAATGGAAAGCTCTTAGTCCCCTGAAGTATCAGAATTTTCACACTGATTTGGAATAATTATCTGAGATCTCTTATGTGAAAGAGAATATAAATGTTCTAAAAAAATTAGCAGATACTTCTATGGCATTGTCATATAACATACATTAACTCTAAATGTTATATGTATTAACTCTTTTAATATTCTTACCAATGCTAGGTAATATTATTACCTCAATTTTAAAGATTTATTACCAGCTGAAGGTAGTAGTAACTATTATTACCTAATTTTTTTTTTAAACTGAGGCTCAGAGAAGGCCAGATTTGCACAGTTAGTAAGTGACTGAACTGGGATTCAAATCCAGAAAATTGGACTCCCAAATCTGTGCTTTTACCCACTGTGATGCACTACCTTCCAGCAATGTCTACGTCCTGTAAGCCACTATATTTGGAGTCTTCATTACAACAGCTTAGCATGACCTTAAAAATATAGAAACTTGAACCTAGATAAATACGTCGTTAGAGCAGAACTGAGGAAACAGATTTCACACACAGGCTGCAAAAATGGGGACTCTTGTACTGTCATCACAAAATATTTTGTAAAACTCTCTCTGGCAGTAACTTGAAAGATTGATCATTTACCCAGAGAGCAACCAGAATGTTGATGTGTGTTGGCCATTCCTTGATGCTTTTAGCAGAGGTCAGTAAAAGAAAAATTGTGTTTTCAAATGAGAACTAGTAGAATAGGCATGGTGGCTCATGCCTGTAATCCCAGTACTTTGGGAGGCCAATGTGGGCTGGTCATCTGATGCCAGGAGTTTGAGACCAGCCTGGCCAACATGGTGAAACCTTGTCTCTACTAAAAATACAAAAATTATCCAGGTGTGATGGTGTGTGCTTGTAATCCCAGCTACTCAGGAGGCTGAGGCAGAAGAATTGCTTGAACCCAAGAGGCGGAGGCTGCAGTGAGCTGAGATCACGCCACTGCACTCCACCTAGGGTGACAGAGTGAGACTCTGTCTCAAAAAAAAAAAAGAGAGAGAGAGAGAGAGAGAGAGAGAGAGAGAGAGAGAGAGAGAGAGAGAGAACTAGCAGGTATAAAGGAAAAAGCTACAGAGAATGTCTAGAAATATGGTGCTATGTCCTTAACACCAGGAGGTAAGATTGTTATGGCTCACAGCCCTTCCCAATGCCTCCAAATTAGGAAAACTAGTCATGGGAGATTATATTAAAGGTGTTGCTTCTTCTTGCCCATATATTCTGATGGCCTCAAAAGAGACAGCATTTAAATGAGAGAGGGAAATGGGTCATGGTAACCAGGAAGTAAAGTTGGCTTTAACACCATGCTCTGAAATGAAATCTGGGTGACATTGCTGGCACATGGAACCAAACAGACCCAGAAGCCTATCAAGTTTCTAAGGTATTGATATTTCAAAAGCAACCAGAAGCATGGCCTGAAAATGTCCTCAGACTCTCAGACCTATACCTGTAGGAAATGGATACTAAAATTACATGGTCTTTTCAAGACCCACTTCAGAGGTGGCCTTAAAGCATAACAGACTAGGAAGAATTTCCAAAGGGCAAAATTTGAAATCATAAAGAACATGGGGAAGTACACCATGGTCAGGACAGGGGACCATCTCACTTCCTCTCTGGTGGAATAATAATCTCATTGCTATGCAATGTGAAAAGAAAAGAAACAACTTTTCAGTGACTATTAAGTGTATTCCCTTCTTCCTTTCTTTTCCTAAGACTGCTTATTATAGTTACTCTGATCACACTCTAGATTGTAATCTAGATGTGTTGGTGGATAATAATTTTGTTTTCTAGCCTTCCTCATGCAGCCCTAGTGGACCTAACGTGGAGGTCAGAACATCACCTGGAGATACTGTACTTTGAAGTGGGTGCAGAAATTGGATGGGGGTTGGGGTTTTATCCCTTGGTGAGGGATGAGGGAGTCAATGTGTGAGAGAAGGGTGCAGATGGCTATTTGGTGGCCAAATGGCAGGCACAGATTGCTAATTGCTCACTAAAATTTATTTTCTTTTTCCTTGAACATGTCTCTCCAGTCATTTGACATTACCCATTTCTTTTTTGCAATTAGTTGGGTATGGCCAGGTGGCTAGATTTTACCATTAGAAGGGAATTTGAAGTGCTGAGTACCATTGCTGGTCCTGGGCCTTAAGACATTGGGTACTTCTTTACATTCCCTCTAGTCTTTCTTCTTCCACTTTGACAGAACACAGACACAGTAGTGACCTAGATTCAACCATGCAGATAACCGCAGTCACCTAGGAATGGTTAGCAATATGAAAGAGCCACTCACTGCTCAAGATTCACTCTCTATGCAGCCCCCTCAATGCTCCGTCCCTGGAGGCATTATGAACTCCACCAATAGCTCCCTTGCCTTCTGGCTTCTAGTTCAAAGGGTGGAATAAGTTAAGTCAGGATATCTATTCCCTCCATGCCCTCTGTGCTGAGCTGTCACAGGTTGGCTTCATCCTTCTACCAATGGCCACAGCATCTACTGGGAGAGTCTCCACTTTGTCTACCCTCTTCTTGTGCCAGTATCTGCTTCCACTCCTTATTCCTTCAAACCTAGAGATGGTAAGAGCTCCTGGCCTTCCCCTCACCCCACCTCTTCTATCCCATTGCTAGCACTGGAGTATTGTATTGTGTCTTGTTAATTTCCCTTAGTTTTCCCATCCTTACATCAATAGTCCCCTTAAAGAACTTCCCTCAATAGCCGTTCTGAGTGTGCCTTCTCTTTCCTGAAGGATTTGATGAGTGGGGTCTCTGAATGACCCCCTCAAGAGAAACTCCCCTACTAATAACTCTCACAAGAACTGTTAGATGAGAGAGAAATAAACATCCATGATTTTTAAGCTACTATATTTCTGTTCTATGTGTTATAGTAATTTCGTCTTACCCTAATTAATAGAGTATGATATATTTTTTCTAGAAGTTTGTCCATTTCATTAAATTTTCAAATTTGTTGGCATAAAATGATTCATTGACTCCTCTTTCCCTCTCTGTCTATAGCATCTACATGTTTTAGTTTTCATTTCTAAAATTGGATATTTGAGCCATTATTTTTCTTCATTGTCTCATCACAGGGGTATTAGTTTTTATCAATCTTTTTAAAGAATGAACTTTTAAGGTTTGTTGAATCACTCCATTATATGTTCATTTTCTATTTCATTAATTGTACTGGTTATCGTAGCAAATTACTTTGGAACTTAGCAGCTAAAAATAATCAGAAATGTTTATCATAACACATTCTTTCTGGGAGCAAGGTGGAAATGGTAGCGTTATTGTATGATCTGACCTTGACAATCACACATCATCATTTCTAGAGTATCCTATTGGTTAAACAGGTCAGCCCTATTTGATGTTGTAGGGGGATATGCAAGGGCATGAATACCAGGAAGTGAGGATGTTGGGGTTCATGTTGGGATTCCGGTATTGGGGTTAGAGTAGGTAGTTAGGCAGACATGTGCAGGGAAGGAGAGCCTCCCCCTCCCACTGCCCACCACCAGGAATGTCAGGTGACCATGAGGTGATGGTCAGGTGGTTATTAAACTGTCTCACTAAAATAATAATTGGATGCAGCTGGCACCAGAGAAAGCCAGTCTCCCAATAGATAGAAACTACCTGAAGCTGGTGATCAGCAGCTTCCTGATAAGATCTCAGGATCTTGGCTTGGGTGAGTGGGTCCAAGCATGCGCACTAAGAGGTAAAATGGCAGAGTTTAACTGGTATATAACCTGCCACTCGATTGGTAAGGGAAAAACACCTCAAGTGAGCATGTGAACAACTTCAGTAAACACACTGCACATGCGGCCCCTCCCAAGTGCTGGCAGGCCACTGTGCATGTGGACAGCCTACCCCAAGGGAAGAATCAGGGGAGAAGAAATGCAAACCCCAGAATCATACCAATGTATTAAAACCCCAAGTCAAAGGTCACATGAGGCATTTGGATCTCTTAAGTCACCCACTTGACCCTCTTCCAAGTGTACTTTACTTCCTTTCATTCCTGCTCTAAAACTTAAATAAACTCTCACTCCTGCTAAAAAACTTGCCTCAGTCTCTCACTCTGCCTTATACAAGTAAGATGAATTCTTTCCTTTGAGGAGGCAAGAATTGAGCTGTTGTAGAGCTGTACAGATTTGCCAGTGCAAAAATACTTTGCTACCATGACTTGGATATATTCTCTACTGGTAAGACATCTCTATGCCTTGCCTTCTTAGGCTGGAGGCATCCAACCCCCATACCCATACATGGTTTCCTTCTCCCCTTTCATTCTCCTGCTTATTAACTAACCCCCAAAATGGTTCCTCTCAGTCACAGTAGCTCTGGTCCCCATAGCTGATCTCTCAGCTGGCCCTGATGGTGGCTCACAGGGGTGAATAAAACCTTGGAGACTGCACCAAGTAGACCTGAGACAATAACAGCTCTCCTGGATAGGAGGCTCATGAGAGGGGTAGGGCTAAAGCCTAAGACTGTGCAATGTCTGGGGTTTCCTCTCTTTTTCCTACTAAAATTGGCTTTTTTCCTAAAACCAACACCACCTATTCTGTTTTCTCTCTGTGAATTCTGAAATGGTCTTGCGTACCCACCAGGGGGCAAGTCTGCCTTTTCCCCGCTTTCACTTTGCATGCCACACGACTTCCTACTCTGCCTTAAACACACACTCCCAGTTTGTTATTTATATGCCTGAAGCTCTTGCTGTTTGCATAGCAGCAAAGAAATGGGCTTCCTTGTGGATGTCTGTTGGCTCATTTCTAGGACAGACACTTACCAGAACCCTGACTCTGCCAGCTCCTTATGACTTACCATATGCATTTCGTTTATGCTATGCTCCAGGGCCAAGTTTTTTGGTGTCTTTTGATGCTGTTTATCCACTGCATAGGATCTCACTCTGTGGCTTTTTAAGGACCCCACCTACTACCACTGCCCCCCCACCTTTTTTTTTTTTTTTTTTTGAGTAAGCAATCCTTAGGGAGGAAGGAAAATTCTTCCTTTGCCATTTGCAAACCCTTATTCTTCCAAGCCCCAAGTCCTCTGGAGATTCCTCCTTTATGTTAAGAAGGCAAAAAATGCTGCCCTTTTGAATCCAAGGGCTGCTGGTTTTGCAAGCACATGAAGGCTTTCCGTGGGAATTCTTCTTGCTTCTTCCCATTTCCTCCTGTAGCAGAGGGATTATCTTGCCTGTTGAAGCATTTGTTCTCCATGTTACCCCGGGAGGATAAGGAACCCCAAATACAAAATTTTCCCCATTCTTCTGATCACTTCCAGATTCTTCTCAATAGGTATAAGGACCTTCAAGGCCATATTTGAAGGGAGGAAAGTCCAACCCCTTGCAGCCGTTGGCTGAGAACCAGTCTTCCCGTCTACTTAAAGCACATCATTCTCAGCAAACTAACACAGGAACAGAAAATCAAACACTGCATATTCTCACTCATAAGTGGGAGCTGAACAATGAGAACACATGGACACAGGGCGGGGAACATCACACACCGGGGCCTGTCAGGGGGTGGAGACTAGGGGAGGGATAGCATTAGGAGAAATACCTAATGTAGATGATGGGTTGATGGGTGCACCAAACCACCATGGCACATGTATACCTATGTAACAAACCTGAACATTCTGTACATGTACCCCAGAACTTAAAGTATAATTTTAAAAAACCCAACAACTTCTTTGAAAGCCTGAAGAATAATTTCAATGTTTTTACATTTAATTTGCCTTTTTCATTAAAGTTTATTCAAATTTTATGCCCCCCAAAATAGGAATATCAGAAAAGAAATAATCATTTTGTTGCTAGAATGCTCCAAGTGAGGTCACCATAAGGTCATAGAGACAGATATGAGCCAGCCCAAGGCTTCAGGCACAACAGACAAAAGTACTCATAGGACAGAGATGAAGGCTGGTCCCAAGCTATAGGCACAGATTACCATTAGAATAGGGATGAAGGAAAGCAAGGTTAGGGGTTCCCAATAAGACCAGTTCATTCTGGACCCCAAGGATGAAGAAGGGGCCCCCTGTTTACTCCAGTATCTCCTTTGTTCTCAAGTGGGTAATCATGATGAGATGGGACCAAGGTTAGGGGTACTTGGTGAGACTGGTTTATTTTGGAACTGTAAGGACGAATTGGGGGATGCAATGTTTAGGAAAGGATGATAGGGGAATAAGAGGGAATGCATTCTTTTTTTCTTTTTTTCTCCTCTGTTCTCTCTTCACAGATGGGTAATTGCCTCTCCATATGACAGGACACACCCCTAGATGCATCCTCAAGAACTGGGAAAAGTTTGACCCCCAAACTCTAAAAAAGAAAAGGCTAACATTTTTCTGTAATATAGCCTGGGTTGAATCCAAGCTCAGGGACCAGGAATCTTGGCCAGAAAATGAGATCATAAATTTTAATATGATCTATTGACTGGATTTGTTTTGCTGGCAGCAGGGAAATTGGGCAAAAATCTCCTATGTACAGGCCTTCATAGTCCTAAGAAACAACCCTGACCTTTGTCAGGCTTGTAAAATGGATCCAGCAATGATAGCAGCCACAGTCAGGCAGCCCCCTCTGGTTGGTTTGGGAGACCATTATTGTGTTTATCCAGGGCTCAAGCCCCAGAGAAACCAAGGGCAGAGCTTAGCTCAAACTCCCCTTCTACCCTATTATATCCAAGTCTCCCAGCCCTGGCTCATTTCCTTCCCTAACCAGGGCCATCCTCTGGACACCACCCCCTTAAGTTATGCCGCTTCAAGAGGTTAGCAGCCCCAGTAGAGCCACTAGGGTCCAAACTCCATTCACTATGCAATACCTGAGCCAAATTAAAATGGAACTAGGTAAGTTTATGGAAGACCCTGACAAATACATGAAAGGGTTCCACAAGGTAGGCTTAACATTTAAACTCACCTGGAGGGACCTCTCAGTCATACTAGGGCAAACTCTGTCTAAGGGAGAACGTGACTCCATTAAGGAAGTGGCCCAATAATTTGCAAATGCAATGCATATGACTGACCCTGGTGCCTACTCTGGGGGTGGGGGCGGGTAGGGGGCACAACAGTTTCTCAGGTGGACCTCTTTTGGGATTACAATACCTAGTGGGGCATGTGGACAAGGAACCACATATTCCTCTATCTGGTAGAAGGAATGAAAGCTAGCAGAACAAAGCCTGTGAACTACAATAAATTGGCCTTAATAGATCAAGGCCTTCTTGAAACCTCCTCTGCTTTCCTAGGGAGGCTACAAGAGGCCCTAATGAGATATACTAACCTAGACCCAGAGACACCAGAAGGGCAACTGGTCCTAAAGGACCATTTCCTAACTCAGGCAGCCCCAGATGATTTGGAAGAAACTCCAGAAACTAGCACTGGGTCCCAACACCCCTATGCCTGACACCCTCAAAATAGCTTCCTCAGTCTTTTACAACCAGGACCAGGAGGAAGAGGAAAGTGTTCAGGAAAAGGAGAAGTGAAAGGAAAAGAGGGAGCTCCAACTATTGGCTGCTCTACGGGTCCATTAGCCCCCTCCAGGTTGCCCTCAGACAACCCTCCCAGATAACTGACATTGGTGTGAGAAGTCAGGCCACTGGAAGGCAAACAGCCCCAGTGGAGCAGATGGGAAAAAGCCCCGCATGGCTTGCCCCTCTGCCACAAGCTCAGCCACTGGATCTGAGACTTCTCTGAGGGCCAAAGGGCCCCTGGGACAGAATCCCAACCCCTGATGACCTTGAGCTGAAGGGGCCCTATGGTCTGGCCAGCTCCTGGATTGAACATCACTATTGAGGGGATGAAGCTAAGGGCTGCTTTGGACACGGCAGGTATGACTGTAAGGTTTCTTTTGGACAAAGGAGCTGCCTGCTCAGTGCTTACCTCTTTTTCTGGGCAATTATCCTCAAATCCTGCCAGGCAATGGGGGTAAATGGGGTGCCCATAATATAGAGGTTTGCTCCTTCTTGGTGCTGCCTGTGGGGATAAATGGTATTTTCTCATTCATTTTTAGTGATGCCAGAATGTCCTATGCCTCTTTTGGGTAGAGACATTTTGTTTAGACTAGGAGTTCAGTTAACCTTTCCTCCAGGGCCAACACCCCCTTTTCCAAATGCAATCTTATTCCTCAAGGAAACCACACACAAGGATGAACTGCCCACAGACCTTCCAATTAATCCAGAGGTCTGGGCCCCAGGAATACCAGGAAAGGCTGTAATGGCCATGCCTATAGCAATTCAGCTCAAGGATCCTTCTAGTTATCCTTGCAGAGGGCAGTTTCCTCTTCAGTTGGAGGCCAAAGAGGGACTTCAGCCCCTGATTTAAAAATTTCTAACACATGGATTAATATCCTGTAACTCACCCTATAACACCCCTATCTTAACTGTTAAAAAGACTAACGGAGAATACAGGTTAGTCCAGAATCTGTGAGTCATAAATGAGGCAGTAGTCCGAATACACCCAATGGTCCCCAACCTTTATGTAATTCTAGAAGATTTCCAGATGCTCAGTGGTTTTCGGTCTTAGACTTCAAAAATTTCTTCTGTATCCCCCTAGACCCATCCTCCCAATTTATATTTGTATTGGAGTTGGAGAATGAAAAAGGAAGAAGTTAACAGCTCACCTGGACAGTGCTTCCACAAGGTTTCAGAGATAGTCCCCATTTGTTTGGGCAAGCCTTGGCTAGATATTTGCAGGACCTAAGTCTTTATATGGGAGGGCATCTCCTACAGTACATGGATGACCTGTTAATCTGCTCCCCAACAAGAGAGTTAGGAATCCAACATCTAAATTTCCTTGCAGACAGAAGGTACAAAGTGTCCAAGGCCAAGACACAGCTACTAAGACAAGCAATCCAATACCTGGGGATAATCATGAGCCTCAAAGAACACAAGCTTTCTGCAGAATAGATACAGGCAATCCTTAGAATACTACACCAACCACCCAAAAGCAATTTTGAGCTTTTCTGGGGATCACAAGATACTGCAGACTTTGGATACTGGAATGTGGTGGAATTATTAAATCCTTATATCAGGCTTTAAAAGAAGGGACTAATAGGGACACAATCTCTGGGAAAAGAATCAGGAGCAAGCCTTTAGGTAGTTAAAAACTGCCCTCTCACAAGCCCCAGCCCTTGAGCTACCCATACTAACCAAACCATTTCAGTTTTTCATCACTGAAAAGGCAAGGTATAGCACTAGGAGTTCTAACTGAAACCTTTGGGCCAGTCAAACATGCTGTAGGTTATTTTTCAAAGAACCTAGACCCAGCAGCACAATGGTGGCCACATTGCCTCAAGGTAGTGGGTACAGCAGCCCTTATTCTCGAGGAGGACTTCAATATCACAATGGGACAATCAATCTGGCTCCTAATGTCCCACCAAATAGACCCTTTATTGAATTTAAAAGGACCATAATGGCTCACTGACAACACATTGATAAAGTACCAAGTCTTGTTGTTGGAAAACCCACAGGTAACAGTTGAGCAGTGTTCCACCATTAACCCAGCCCTCTTACTGCCACTACCAGGAGATGATAACTCAACATATTCATGCTGTGAGATTCTTAACAAAATTTATGCCAGCTGGGAAGACTTAAAGGATCAGCCCATAGATAATCCAGACAAAATATGGTTTTCAGATGGCAGTAGCTTCGTCAGGGATGGAACTAGATATGCAGGGTATGCTACAGAGTCCCATCACCAAGTTGTAGAGACTAAAGCTCTGTCCCCAGGGACCTCAGTGCAACTAGCCGAATTCATCACACTAACCAGAGCCCTAAAACTAGGGGAAAGAAAAAGAATAACCATCTATACAGATTCCAAATATGCCTTCTTGGTGCTTCATGCCCACATGGCTATCTGGAAGGAAAGAAGGTACCTAACAGCTCAGGATGCTCCTATTAAGTATGGGTCTCAAGTCTTAGAGCTACTGGAGGCTGCTCATTTGCCCCAGGAAGTGGCAGTAGAGCATTGTGAAGGACACCACAGGGGCTTCTATTAAACTACATGGGGAAACAGGTTAGCTGACAAAAATGCTGAAGAGGCAGCCATGTCAAATGATACCTTCATGGGAGACTTGTTCCTCTCTCTCCCCAGTGAACTGCCCTTTCTCCAATACACTAAGGAAGAAATAGATTGGTCCAGCCAACATGGGTATAAAGAAGAAACCAGTGGATGGTACAGATTGGAAGAATTTTTCCATCTACCTCCCAATGGAAAGCCTCCCAGGGAAAAGCTTTCCATTGGGAGGTAGATGGAGAAATTGGAGGAGAGATGAAGAAATTGGCAGGTAGATGGAGAAAAGTGTGGGGAATCTTGGTTGATGGCAGAATTGGTTGTGGGTGTATGTTTGGTAAGTTTGTTGGTTAGGGTCTACAGTGAGAGTCACACTGCAAACCGTACTGGGAAGAGCCCCTATATCTATTCCATTTTTCTTCTCAGCCATAATGCAAATAGGGGCTATTCCCATTAAAGTGATATTAGAAAAGATGGGTCCAAAAATGGAACCTCCCAATGGAAAGTCATTAAGAGTTTTTACAACTTCTTCCACCTTGCAAAGGACAGTCTAGGACAAATTTGTAAATAAGTGTTCAGTGGGAAGGGACTAAACAAAACCATTCAACAGGTTTGTCAAGCCTATACCCTATGTACCATAAATAATTCCCAGAGAGGGAAGCCCCCTCCATTAATAAGTCCAATCCAGAGGAGAAGTACATACCCTGGGGAGGACTGGCAAATGGACTTCACTCATCTCCCTGCAGGCTTCAGGTAAAAGTACCTCTTGGTCTGTGTAGATACCTTCACAAAATGGGTAGAAGCCTGCTCCACAAAGACTGAGAAGGCACAGGAGGTAGCTAAATTCCTCCTAAAGGAATGCATTTCCTGGTTTGAGCTACCCAGGTCATTGCAAAGTGACAATGGTCCATCCTTTATTTCCTAAGTAACTCAACAGGTTAGTAGGGCCGTTAGTAAGCATAAATGTACCTTCACTTTGCCTGGTGATCACAACCTTCAGGAAAAGTGGAAAGAACTAAAGAAACCCTCGAACACATACTCAATAAACTCTGTCAGAAAACAGCACAGCCATGGGTGGACCTCTTACTCTTAGCCCCACTTTGGATCCATATTGCCCCTCAGACTCCCTTGCAATTAATCCCCTTTGAGGCCTTATATGGTAAGCCATTCCTATATTCAGACTTAATGCTAGATGAAAAAACTGCCAAAATCACCTACTGTGTCTCTTCTTTAGCAGGTTTCCAACAGGCTCTCCAGGAATTTTGGTTACAAAGAAAGCCAAAATCAGAAGGGGAAAAATACCAGCCTCTGTATCCTCCAGGCTCACTAGTTCTTATTAAAGCTTGGAGAGATGGAACTCTGAATTCCCAACTAACTCCAGTCCGAAGGGGCCTCTTCACCCTTAGAGCCATTAAAGTATCAGAGATTGTCAGTTGGATACATCACACCTGAGTGAAGCCATGGAAAGGCTCCAAAACACCAGATCTGGAAGCAATGCCCTCAGCTCCAGAACACACTTGAGAGGCACTGGAAAATCTGTGATTCCTCTTTAAGTGAAAAGATAAGTAATGCCCCTCAACATCCTTTCTCTTCAGAGTAAGATGATCTTAATATTAGAAATCTTACTTGCAATTGCTCTGATTATTATCACTATTTTAACCCTAACTTGTACACCACTAGGCCTTCCAGTGGCAGCTTTCTTTGTGACCAGTTTCTCTCTTCACAGTCACCTTAGGTTGCTATGGGCCTGCTCCAGTTGGTTCTCAATCTCACCCCTTTACTAGCAGGACACTACCATCCTGATTTCCCATTATTGGAAAAAGCTCAGTAACTGCTCCAAAGCACAGGATCCCCTTACTCCACCAATTGCTGGTTATGTACCAGCTCTTCTGCTAAAACGGCAGGGAGAGCTTATTCAGCCTCACCAAGAGATTGGACAAGTATAAAGGCAGAACTGCATATTTTCTATCAATGGGAGGCTAATGGGAGATGTTTGGGCCTGCAAATAGCCTTCTTGCAAAAGTAAAGCAAGATTTCCCTGATATCTGCAAAGAACCTCCCAATTTTGGATCCATCTTTTCTAATACCACTTTAATGGGACTAGCCCCTATTTGCATTACGGCCAATAAGAAAAATGGAATGGATGTTGGGGCTCTTTCCAGTACAGTTAGCAATGTTACTCTCACTGTAGATCCTAACCAACGAACTTGCCAAACGTACACCCACAACTAATTCTACCATCACACAAGATTTCCCAAACCTTCAAATATTACCTTTCCTCTGGGAACTTTGCTGGATAAATCCACCCAGTTTTGCCAGGGACACCCAAGCTCCTGCAGTATTCAAAATTTCTGGTTCCGGCCTGCTGATACAACCAATGCCTGCAAATTGCCAATCTCATTTCTACAGAAGAATGGGTTCTATTGGACCAGACTCAAAATTCTCTTTTTTAGGAAAATAAAACCAAGGGAACTAAACAGAACCAAAGCCCATGCACATAAGTCTTAGCAGGCATGACTATAGCCACCAGCTACCTGGGTGTGTTGGCAGCCTTGGCATTTCTTGGAGCTGTCCTCACCCCCTTGTTTCATTTTTACATCTCTACTTATCTTAAAACCCAAGGAGCCTTCTATATTTGTGGCCAGCCAGTTCACCAGTGCCTCCCCACTAACCGGACTGGAACTTGTACCATAGGCTATGTATCCCTAGACATCTTCATAGTCCCTGGCAATCTCTCTCTTCCAGCACCAATCTACAGGCATTCCATCTTTTCCAGGATGAGGAGGGCTATCCAATTAATTCTCCTTCTCACAGGACTTGGTATTATAGCCAGTATGGGAACCAGAATTGCTAGAATCACAAAAGCCTCCTTGACCCATAGCCAGCCCTCAAGGGAAATAGCCAAGAACATTGATGCTACGGCTAAAACCTTAACAACTGTGCAAGAACAAATTGACTCTTTGGCAGCTATAGTCCTCCAAAATTATCAGGAGTTAGACAAGTTAACAGCAGCACAGAGAGAAACTTGTTTAGCCTTAGGTGAAAAATTTTGCTTATGGGTCAATCAATCAGGAAAAGTACAATATCAGACAACTCCTAAATTGAGCCTCCAGTTTACTGGAACAAGCCTCTCAGGGTTGGTTAGATTGGGAAGGAAGCTGAAAATGCTTCTCCTGAGTTATTCCCCTTTTAGGCCCACTTGTTAGTCTCCTACTTTTGCTCCGTTTTGGGCCATGTCTTCTAAATCTAGCAACCCGATTTGTCTCCTCACACCTTCAGGCCATCAAGCTTCAGATGATCCTCAGTGAGAGATACCATCGTCTCAATATTCAAGAGTCACACTTCTACAGAGGACCACTAGACTGCCCATCAGTGAGACATGAAAGAAGCGAAATCCTGCCCCTGTCTCCCTTGGACCTTGCTGGATACCACTTTCACCAACCCACAAAGCCACCCTGCCCTGACAGCAAGACGCCAAGACCCACAGAACAATCATCACCGTCCTTCTGTCAGCAGGAAGCAGTTACAGAAGACTGACCTTTGTCCATTTTCCCAAAGAATTGGGTCGGGAATGTTAGAGTAGGTAGTTTGGCAGACATGAACAGGGCAAAAGAGGCACCCACCCCGCCGCTGCTTCCATGAATCTCAGGCAACCATCAGATGATCAGGTGATGGCCAGGTGATTGTTAAGCTGTCTCACTAAAATAGTAATTGGTTGCAGCTGATGCCAGGGACAGGCAGGCTCCCAACAGATAGAAAACACCTGAAACAAGATCAGCAGCTTCCCGATAAGGTCTCAGGAGTTGGGTGAGTGGGCCCGAGCATGCATACTAAGAGGCAAAATGGTGGAGTTTAACTGGTATATGACCTTCCTCTAGGAATGCTCAACTGGTAAGGGAAAAATGCCTCAAGTGAGCACACACAAAACTTCAATAAACACATTGCATATGCAGCCCCTCCCAAGTGCTGGCAGGCCACTGCACATGTGGAAATCCCACCTTAAGGAAAAATCAAGGAAGGAGAGATGCAAACCTCAGAACCAGGCCAATGTATAAAAACCCCAAGTGAAGGGTTGGATGAGGCACTTGGATCTCTTAAGTTGCCCGCTTGGCCCTCTTCCAAGTATACTTTCTTTCCTTTCACTCCTGCTCTCATTCCTGTTCAAAAACTTGCCTTGGTCTCTCACTCTACCTTATACCCCTTAGGTAAATTATTTCCTTTGAGGAGGCAAGAATCAAGTTGCTGCAGACCCATATGGATCCACCACTGCTAACAATCCTAGAGCTATCTACTATGTTAGTTTTTGCTCTGATGTTTACTATTTCCCTTCTTGAACTTTCTTTGGTCTTACTTTGCTGTTTTCTTCTATCAACAAAAGGATGATATTACCTCTTTAATATCAGTTTTTCCTCTTTTCTATTGTACTCATTTAAGAGTATAAATTTTACTTAAATTTAATTTTAGCTGTTTCCTATAAGATTTTATCTGTTGGAAAATTTTTATTATTCAATTAAAATCACTTTCTTATTTCCATTTTACTTCTTTTTCTTTTTTGACTCGCAGATTATTTAGAAATGTTACATAATTTTTCAACATGCAAATTTTCTAGGTTTTTAAAAAATTGAGTCTAAGCTTGATTGCATTGTAGTCAGACAATATATACTATTATCAAGACTCGCTTGACAGCCAGGTATATAGTCAATTTTTGTAGATGCTCCTTGTGAGCTTGAAATAATGTGTATCTGCAATTACTTGGCACAAGGTTCTATATAATCCTATTAGGTTAAGTTTGCAAATTGTGTGTTTTAGGTACTCTCTATTCTCACTAATCTTTTTAAAAAAATTTTGCTAGTTCTACCAATAAACAATGAATGCCAAGTTAAAATCAATCATGATGACAGTACGACTGTTTGTATTTTTCTTGTAGTAGTTCAGCAAATTTTTGCTGTGTATATTTTAAGGTTGTATTAGAAGGAACATGTACACTTAAAATCACTCTATCTTCTGGGTGGTCCCTTCTATCCATGGTAATACTTTTACTTTTAAAGTCTATTTTGATTGAACAATATAGTTCTTCCCACCCTTGGCTCCTTTTAAAGTCTTTGTGTTTGATGCTCTGCAGTTTCACCAAGATATGGCTAGGTATGAATTTCTAAGTCTCAGCATGATTAAAATATTTTCTCTACCCAACTCTTTTCTTTTTTTCCTTTCCTTCTGGGGATCCAATTTGTCCTATGCTAGATCTTCTCACTTTTAGCCTCCATGTCTTTTTTAGAGTTTCCTCTCTCAGTTTTTCCGTGTTATACTGAATATAATCTCCCATGAACTATTTTTCATTTCATTAATTATCTCTTCAGATCTGCTACATTTCCTGTTAAATTCACCCATTAAAGGTTTTTGTTTCTGTCTCTCATTTTCTTTTCTTTTTTTTTTTTGCTCCCTAATGTCCTTGACACAACCCCACACTGTTTCCGAAAAACTGACCTCAAAAACTTAAGAATGAATTCAGGTCCCTTTCCCCCTTTCCAATAATTAGCCACATGTATCACATAACCCATAACTTTATCTGAGCCTGAGCATGTTTTGGCCTGTCTTTATTTGCAACCTACATGACCTCACCAGTCATCTACCTTAAGAGGGTGTATTTAGAGGCTTTGTGTGGGGCCAGGTGCAGTGGCTGATGCCTGTAATCCCAGCACTTTGGGAGGCTGAGGCAAGTAGATTGCTTGAACCCAGGGGTTTGAGACTAGCCTGGGCAATGTGGGGAAACCCTATCTATTAAAAAAAAAAAATTAACTGGGTGTGGTGGTGCACGCCTGCAGTCCCAGCTGCTCAGGTAGGGGGATTGCTTAAGCCCAGGAGGTCAAAGCTGCAGTGAGCCATGATCATGCCATTGCACTCCAGCCTGGGTGACAGAGAGAAATCCTGTCTCAAAAAAAAAAAAAAAAAAAAAAAAAAAAAAAGGCTTTGAGTGACTATCCCGAGGCATTTGAGTCCCGAAGATTAGAAGTCATCCTCATAGCCTTTCCAATGGAGTAACACTTTTTGTGTGCTTTGAAATTAAAAAGTGGAAAATGTTTCCCTCAGATTGTGAGACCCTTTATAAATGTATATGTGAACAATTTTTAAGCTGCTATACCTCAATAATAAAATGTTTCCTGGCTACTCATTAAGTTTTAAATTTCTATTACTAGATTTTCATTTCTGAAAGTTCAATTTTATATTTTTCAAATCTGTTGCAATTTTTTTATACAATTTACTGTACCCTGGGTTTAAAATTGTCTTTTATTTCTTTAAACTCTGTAAGTATAGTTATTGAGCCTCTATTTGATCATTTCTGTATTTGGGGTCTCTGCAAGTCTGTTTCTGCCATCACTTGTTTCTGCTGGCTTTTGTTTCTCCTGCTCTGTTTCTTTGGTTATTTATTTATTTATTTATTTACTATGATTTGTTGCTCATTGCTTAGATAATTATTTGTTAGGTTTCTTAAGATCTAGGATAAAATCCAGAGAGGATATGTGTTTGTTTCTGCCAGGTGAGTAAATATACTACAAATATGGTATGACTTTATACTAAATTTACAGCTTGAGTTTTTTTTTTTTTTCCGTTCAATCAGTGGGAATTTGGCTCAAAATCTGAGTGATGATAAGCAGATGGATATCAACAACAATCTTGAATTTATTTCATCAATATTAAATTAATCAGCAATATTAAATGTATTTATTTTACTTTTCTCAGTCCCAAGACAATTTTCTTTTTAGGTTTCTGGGAGTCGAAATATTGAACAGATTTATATTTATTTCAACCTTAGAGGAATATTTAGCCCTTTGGGGTCAGAGGGTTTTGGTTTTATAGGTGTTGGTCCCTTATTAGACTCCTCATTTTAGGATGAACTGTGATTTGGCTTCTGTTCCCCTTGCCCTCTGAGACATTAAAACCCAAAGCACAAGATCAATCAGTTAGGATGCCCTCAGGACAAGACCGAATTCAATCCTGCTTACCTTTCTGGATTTCTGCTTTCCTTTAAATTATGATTTGCTGATTCTATATTATCTTGTGTGATATTTGATGCTTTCAAAAATATTTTCTCTATTATCTTTTGTTGTTTATATTAGGCTGTTTTGTTCTGAATTATTTAGCCTGTTGTATTGCTAGAAATCAAAGTTGTCCCTTTAAGATATAAATAAGTTTATGTCATTTATTTAAAAGAATTCTACTAGACTTTGAATTTACTGATTAATTTGGAGAGAATTTATATCCTTATAAGTTCACCTTATCCAGGAGCCTAGAATATGTATCTACATATTCAAAATATTTTCTAGACCTTTTATTAGAGTTTGAACATTTTCTCCACAGAGGTCTTGTGTACTCTTGGTTAACTTTTTTTTTTTTTTGAGACGGAGTCTCGCTCTGTCACCCCGGCTGGAGTGCAATGGCGCGATCTTGGCTCACTGCAAGCTCTGCCCCCTGGGTTCCCGCCATTCTCCTGCCTCAGCCTCCCGAGTAGCTGGGAATACAGTCGCCTGCCACTACGCCCAGCTAATTTTTTGTATATTTAGTAGAGACGGGGTTTCACCGTGTTAGCCAGGATGGTCTCGATCTCCTGACCTCGTGATCCACCCGCCTCGGCCTCCCAAAGTGTTGGGATTACAGGCGTGAGCCACCGTGCCCGGCCAGTTAACATATTTATTTCTTAGATGCTGTATAGATTTTCTTGCTATTGTGAGTGCTATCTTCTCTATGATTCAAATTCATAATTGTCATTGCTATTAAATGTTATTATTTAGCTTGTATCAGGCAACACTGTTGAGTATCCTAATGGTATATCTCTTGGTTCTATTGTTTTATTTTCAAGTAGATGATTATGTAATCTACAAACAATAATAGTTCTATTTCTACCCTTACAATTCTTACAGTTCTAATTTATTTTTCTTTTGTTTTTTGAGTGAGGGTCTCTCTCTGTTGCCCAGACTGGAGTGCAGTGGTGTGATCACAGCTCACTGCAGCCTTGACCTTCTGGGATCAAGTGATCCTCACACCTCAGCCTCCCAAGTAGCTGGGACTACAAGAATGTGCCACCATGCTGGTTAATTTTTTGTATTTTTAGTAGAGATGGGATTTTGCCATGTTGCCCAGACTGGTGTGGAACTCCTAGACTTAAGCAATCTGCCCTCTTTAGCCTCCCAAAGTGCTGGGATTACAAGTGTCAGCCACTGTGCCCAGCCTATTTCTTTTTCTTATCTTATAGCATTGGTCAGGACTTCCAATCCTATGTTAAACAACAGTCATGGTAAAATAGAGAATCTTTGTCTTATTTCCAAACGCAAAGGAAATACCCCAGCATTTTGTGAAGCATTAGTTCCTGCATTTGATCACTTTCCCCAAAAACTAGATAGAGTGGTTTCTGCTACCTGAAACTAAAACCTGTTTGATGCCAAAGGAATACAGAATGAGAATTTTTCTGTGATTATAGAATCAGCATCGAAGGGCTCAAAGATAAAAACAACAAAGCACCAAGTACCCCACATTCTGAAAATTGCTGAAAATACTTGAAGTCAAATATCACAACCAAAGCTTGCTTGTGGCTCCTGGAAGAGTTCATCTACCTCTAACCCTCACCCTTGTATTCCCAATTCATGTCTCTGATAATTAAGCAGAAAGACTAGGGAAGAGAAGAGAATGAATTATCAAAATGCAGCATTTATTGTGAGGAGCGATTCTTCTCCTTCCCAAGCCAAGTGAGTGAAGAGGCTCAAGATAATCACATAAAGATTGGGGGTGCTTATGCAAAGGGAAAATTGGTTGAGATAACTGTCTAGGCTGCAGGCCTGTTGGTAAACCTGTGCCTCCCTATGAAGGGGAGAAAAAACTTATTGAAGGGAGATGACAAGGCAAAGAGAGGATGATAATGGGACAATCAACAACCCTATCCTTTGGAAAGAATGGGTAAATTGCCTACTCCAGGAGGAATCCAAGCTTCAACCACTTTGCCAAGGCCTCTCCCAAAGAGAGGACACACTGAGTGAGGGGATCCCAGTAGCTGAAGGTTGAGACTGACCTACTTGGAGCAAGAGCAGGGGTGAAGTGTAAAAGAGATTATGCTGGATCTTCCACTGGCATTTCCAGGAGAAAACCAACTTAATAGTCCATTGGTCTTAGCCACAGAACAAGGAATAAAAGATACTAATCACATGTCCATTAGCAAAAGACTAAGTTCTTTCCACTCTATCCTGTTCCAATTCTGAAAAAGCTAAAACCATGAAGTGTAACAGAACTTATTTTTTCCACAGCCTCATGTAATTTTGTTTTTGACTCCCCACACATTGTTTGGAAGCACAAATCAATATATAAGGCAATTCCAAAGCCCCCTCCCAATCCTGGGAGTTTTCTCTAAAATCCAGCAGGGAGAGCTAAAGCATCATGGGAGACAGCTGGTCTTTGATGTCACCGTCTAAACTTCGGTCTTCATTTGAATCAGATGACTACTTATTTTCTTTTTCCTGACAGCAAGACCTTTTTAAGTCTATCAGTTCTTTCTCTGCTAACCCCCATACCCCTCTGGGCACGTGGGAATTTGCTTCTGTGCCAAGTTCAAGTGTAGGTGTGATGCCATCCCCAGTAAATCACACTAGCATTTCTTCTCTGTTTTTTCATCAGGCTGAGCACAGAGAATCCCTAAGGCTTTGTGACTTTCCCAGGCCCTCCCAGGGAAAGGACACATTAGTCCCTCAGCAATCAGATCACCCAAATTTCCTGAGGAAAGTTTTATCCCCCAGCCTTTCTAACTTGGCCTGAGGAGAAGGCAGAGCAGGATCAATTCTCAGGAACTTACCAGCATCTAAATTATCTTTGTCTTTTCCTATCTCTCTTTATTCTCCCCTAGTCTGGTAAACATTATAATATAGTAAGTATGAGGGCTAGGGACTAAAACAAAGACTATTATATTCTTCAAAACTGACTCTACTTATTTTCTTAAATTATGTCTTTAATGTCTTTTTTATTCTGTGTTCTCTTGATAGCTAGGCTTTTGAAATTTAAAATCTAATAACTGACTATAGCATTCTGCTGAATGTTTATTCCTCTTTGAAGCAATGAAAACTACAAAGTCTTATAGTCAAAATCACAATGGGTTACACTGGAAAAAAGGAGAATTTTACCCTGCAAAACTTTTCAGCAAACCTACATAAAACTGAGCAATGTTCTTTTGCATATAAAATGGTCTCCCCAAAAGAGAAAAAGCATCAACCAACCACTCCCGAATAAAAGTCACAAAAAGGGAAGGGAGGTGCTTGGGTGCTCTGACTTTAATTAATGGTTTGTTTGCTAAAGGTTGTACTGGTTTGGGACCAAAAAAGGACACTTCTATTCATTCTCATCAAATTAAGTTTAAGGTTGGTCTTCAAGATAGGACATTAGGCCAGAACCATTCTACTCATTTCAGATTCCTTAGGGCCAAATTTACTGGAGGTTGCTTAATAACTGTTTATTGAATAAACCAGAAGGGTAAGATAAAGGCAGTCAAAGATAACTGCCTTAAGGCTTCATCTAAGATTCAGAGCCCAGTAGGTTAGCAAAACAGTTGTCCCTCAATAACCATGGAGGATTGATTCCTGGACTCTGATGGATACCAACATCCACGGATGCTCAAGTCCCTGATATAAAATGGCATAGTATTTGCATATAACCTATGTTCATTCCCCTATGTAGGTACTCTCTAGATCACTTATAATACCTAATATCATCTAAATATTATGTAAATATGTGTTATACTGTGTTGTTTAGGGATTAATGACCAAAAAAAGTCTGTACATGTTCAGTACGGATGCAACCATCCATTTTTTTCCAAATATTTTCAATCTCTGGTTGGTTGAATCCATAGATGTAGAACTCACAGTTACAGAGGGCCAACTGTATTTCAGATACAAGCATCAATACAAATAAGGGCCTATTAGAGATAAGCACTCCCTGCCCTAAGGTAGCCTCTGAGGCCCAACTGTCAGATTTCTCAGAACCCAATTTCCTATGTGTCGGTACCCTGGGAGAATGCAAGTTCTAAGGGCTTTGGGCAATCACATGATGCTAATTCTTTATCTGCAGACTGGTACACTTAATTAACTGTCTGTGCCCAGCACAACTGCGGGGAGAGAACAGGGGTTGTAAATACTTGAACATTAGCTTTTCTCTTGGTCTGGACTGTAGGAGACCCAGAACGTCAAAACTGTAGGAGGAAACTTGGACCCAGTTACCAAGGACCTCTAGGTGAGTCGGAGACCTCACTGGACATAGTCCACATGTTTTATTGTAGAAAGAACATTGGGGCTGCTAACAAAGATCCGTAAAGTTTGGCTTCTTGTTGGACTGTCATTAACCTGACTTGCAATTTGATGGCTATCAAGGAATCTCTGTCTGCTCCTTTACTTCTATCCATAAGAAAAGCCACACTCACTGGTTGGTGTTTGCTATTTACTTACAGTGCCACTTATCATACAATTATCAGTTTACTTTTACAAAATATGTAGACTTTTTTTTTTTTTTTTTACTATCTAGAGTCTAGAGCTCACAGTACAGAGTTTTGTGAAATACGGTGCCTATGAGAATTTTCCCATGGTACACAGAAGCCACAGAGGTGCCCTGAAGCACAGAGCCATTGTTGGCATACACGGTGCTCACCCTGGGCTTCTCAGACAAAACATTCTGGATGCGAAGTACCTGTCGAGAAAAGATCGTTTATTAGTATATTATGTGAGTAAACACCTGTTTCATGATGTCCTTCCCAAACATTCTAGGATAAATCTATTTTTCAGAAATCAGAAGCTAAAATCTGTATATCTTCAATAAATTGTTCTTCTTCTGATGAAAGTACTAATGTCATAGATATCTATGCACCAAAGTGAACTGGCTTTCTGACATTAGCCAAATTCCTCAGGGATGACTTACACAATTTTTTTAGTGCAGGCATCCCTTACAGAAGGAGTTAAGATGCTCTTATTTAGTTCTCAAGTGGATGGTGGTCCTCCCTCTGTGGGAAGAATCTTGCCTTTGAGATTACAGTATGGGGAGAGAAACAAGACAAAATAATGAAGAAACACCCAGTTATCCAGCCAACCCAACATGGTAACTGATGGGATGGCAGTCATCACAGCTGGAGCCCCTTCACATCTGCAAAGTTGCTAGAAAGCATAAATAATGGATACTACTTTGGAATTTCATTTGACACATCACTGCCTAGTACTGTTATTGATCCCAGGATTAATACACTTAACTTTGCTAATCAGTGTATATTTAAGCACTCAGGCTTCCAAATAGGCTGGATGAAGTTCACTCAAACAAAATAAAATAAAATTTTTATTTTGGAATTAAAGGAAAACAATTAGAAATTTATGAGTTACGAGTCTATATTGATATCTCTTATTAGAACAGAGTTTGTTCTTTTTTTTATCTTAAGGGAGATCCTTCATCTCAGGTTTGTTAGACAAAAATACTTAAGCTTTGATTTCATGTACAAAACATGAGATTCAACCAAAATTAAAGGGTGTCAGTAATTGTGACAAAAAGTCTTATCTAAAATTTTAAAAATAATTCAACTTGAAAATAGAGATACGAAAAAGATCCTAAACAATTCTCCAATAATCCTATGTATCATATTTCATTTCCTTAAGACAGACATTGTGGTTGGGCTTTTAAAGGAAAGTTTTGTCTATCACTCTTAGGGGTACATATCTGAGGCAAGGATTGCTTCCTAGTTTAGGGTAACAATTCTGGTTCTAGGCTTAGGTTGGACTTTTGTTTCTTTTTACATTTCTTGTGTTCTTTTTAAGAAGCTGTGACTAATACATTAATAAAAAAAGAAATAATCATATTTTTAACTGAAAGACAGCAATACTGGAAGTAGAAATAACTGTATGTCCTAATTTACCCACTAGGCCAATTACTGGGTTTGAATTTGAATTTCAGTTTCTCAAATCACCAAATGTGGATTCACACATTTTAATTTTTTTCAAATTGTACTTTCTCAATGAGGCCTACTCTGATCTCTGACTTTAGTAGTAGGACCTGCTCATCCTGCTGCATATAGTAATCCTGATCCCCTTTACTCTGCTGAGCCTTTTTTCCCATAAAATTTGCCATCTTCAAAGTTACTATGTAATTTACTTATTTCTTATGCTTATTGTTCATTGTTTGTCCCCCTTTCTTAAGATCAGGGATCTCTGTATATTTTTTCTGATATATCCTAAACATAAGTACAATGTCTGACACATTACAGGTACTCAATAAATTTTTGTGAATAAATCTCTGAGTATGTGTGCCTAGAATTTATAGCTATATATAAATTCACTAAAGATTTTTAAATTGTTAACCTTAATGCCATAGAAAATGCAGTTGTCTTATAATGTTGTTTTTAATGTAGAAAATTCAATGGATTATGCTATTGTTTTAGAAGAGATATTTTAAAATAACACAAATGATATCTTGAAAATAAGACAATTTTCAACACCATCGTATATGTTAGAACTTACAGGCAAAAACTCATTTTATTTTGAGGCGACAGTTATTTAAATCCTTTAATCTTAGCTTCATGTTGGACAGTGTGAAAGAAGATGGTACCATATACAACTCTCTCTTTGTCTAACTGCAAGACCTACCTGCTCAGAGACTATCTCCTGATTGGAAATACGATATGGCAATCTGGGTCAATATGAATAATCGAGCTTATGTTTTTCCATTATTCCCAACAGCAAGAGTTATTGAAAAGTTAATGGTGGCCTAAAAGAGTTAACGAACCTTATCTCCCTACCTGTCAAAAACTTTACTTTTCTCATACGTAAAATTTCTTTAGTTCTATAACACCAAATGTGACTGGCTTAAATTCTTCCAAGTCACCCCAACAAATTTGTTCTTGCAGCTTTGCCTGTGAGCTCAGAGAGGTATAGGAACTTACTTCTGATCCTGGAGGGTCCTCAGGGTTATAGTTCAGTAGCTTCATAGGATTAGGATGGCATCCTGCCAAAATGTCTCCTGTGGCAGGATCGACAGTCAGGTTATCCACTAAGGTGCCCAACTGTATCACCTTACAACAAAGAGGGAGTAGTGAAGACATTGTCTCAATGATTCCTCGCTTTCTTCCCTATTCATCCCCACAACCCCTACAGCTTCTTCTGGCACCTAAAGTTGGTGTTTTTAGGGGGCTTTGCTTCTGTATTTTAGAAACGCATGCATAATCTCACTGGCATTGCTCTCAAATAGCCATGTTTTCCTCATTCAAGGGGCACATTCCTGGGTCAAGTATGGGACTAAGGTAAGAAGTCAGATTGTGTGGGCCAGACAGGGTACTCTTACCTTCAGTTGAGTTAAATCCCAGTTATCATGTTTTTCCATTATGTGAATGTTCTTAGCTGCTACATCAGCTACATAGACATACCTTTGAAGTAAATGACATTTACACTTAAGCAAGTGGTAATGAGAGACAACACTCACTTTTATTTTGGAGAAGAGGTATAAAAATGCACACTCCTTGAAAGTACCACTGCAATCCTTTTCTAAACCACAGTAAAAGAAGATAATGGGGTAGTATTTTTAATATTCTTGAAGTGCTTTAAACAGGCTTTGAATATGAGTTATGACTATAATGAAACTGGTGTTTCTAGATGACATATATAGGCTCAATCTTATTACTTCGAAGTCACAACTTTTTCCTTAAATTGAATGAAGGTAAGTGGATCTCTTACAAGGCCAAAAGTGTATATACTTCTAAAAACTAGTGCTTGAAAAAAAGTATCAAATGACCATAAAGCTCAATCACAATATTTTAAAAGAGGAAGGACACTGAGAGGTGTTTTCTACAGGGATCATCTTTGCTCATTATCTCAAATATACATGTTAATATTCAAGGTACTTCTGTTTATAAAAAAACCTCCAATTTTTAAACACTTTTTAAAAGTGTTTTCTCATAAAATTTCATGCTGTTTAAAATAGGGTTTTCTCATTGAATGGTCTGCTGTTGTAAGTCAGTAGGTCTGAAACTTATACAATCCCTATGCCCAATCTAAGGTAGCCTTCCCTCTCTCCTAAGAGCTTTTGTGTAACTGAACTTAGCATAAGTGGTCAAATACTTTGTACTTTCATAAGGGGCAGGGGTATTGCTCATTTATCTTCCTTTGTAGTGTGTTAGGAAAGTGTGTTTCAAGAGTTATGTAAAAATTTGGAATGAGGTCCTTATATCCTTAAGTCCACATCCCTCCTTTAACTGGGAAGAACCTAAAGTCCAAGGAAACAAATGGATTGCTTAGGATGACAGATTTAGTGTGAACCCTGGCCACAACTGATCCCTCCACACATATATTCACTACGTAAGCCTAAGTAAGGAAGTAACTTCCTCGTAAGGAAAGGAGTCCACGAAAATGTCAAGGGCAAAGGATAGAAAAATACACAAAAGAGCTTACTTCTGGTCTGCTGAGACTGTGATCCCATTGGCACTACAAAATCCTTTGGCCACCACTTTAACCTCCCTTGGGCTGTAGAAAAGAACATAAGTCCAGCGAAGATCCAAGATCATCTCAAAAAATGACAGGAGGGAGTTGGTAAAATAGTGGTCTCTGGTGGCATAGAACTGTTCTGGTCCAAGAACCACAATGTCATTCACACTAAAGTGAAAGGGAGGTGGAAAAAGAGACCCATGAGGTATTTAAATATCCTTTATCCTTGTCAAAATCACTCATCTCTACATAGACTAATACGTTCATCAATTTGAAAAAGGATACATGAACTAGTATGGATTAAGGAATTCCACAGAAAATCATGATTCTGCATTGCCCTGATGGGTTTTCTTTAGCCATTTGTTATTTTCTTACTCTTCTCTTTCACAGAAATCAGTGAAAAGAAATAAATTCACAAATAAATCTCAAACCCCAAAATCTGTTGACTTGTAAATGTTGATCATGGTTATCTGTGACAGTTGTAGTGCAGTTCACTGATAGCTATGGTTATCCTCCTTCAGGAATTACACTTCCCCATCCCCTTGCAGTTAGGCACAGCCATGTGACTTGCTTTGGCCAATGAAATGAAATGAAATGAGGTGAGTGGCTTGTGGATGGAAGATTTTAAGAACCACTGCTTGCTTCACCATGTTTCCCTCATGTTTCCACAGTAATGAGCAACTTTTATGATGATAGAGACTGTGGTCCTCCTAGGGCCCTTAATGAGGATAATATGAAACTGAGTCCCTAAATCACCTACACTGGATACATAGCATGCATGAAAAAACATAACAAACCTTGGCAGTTTTGAGCCACCAAGATGTTAGGGTTTTGCTGTCCTGTTATCATAGCATAACCCAGTTCATCTGGACCTTTATATTTTCTCTGAGTAGATGGAATTATGGGTGATATTCTTTCTTACGTTCTTCAATATCATTGACATTTTAAAATAGAGCAAGTCTTATTCTTACAATCCGTAAGAAAAATAAAGTCATTTTTATTTTTGAAAAGAAAAAAAAAGTGACTTGAAAAAATAATGCTTAAACATTTTTAGATTAAATTTTAGGGAGGAAAATTTGGGTGAATCAGGAAATACTTTGAAGTTTTGACATATAATGACTTTCCCAAGGTCACTCGGCTACTCACCTTTTGTATCTCAGCTTAAGCATTCTTTACTCCAAAAAGTATTGCCTGACATCATAAATTAGGTTAAACTGCCTCACAATTTGTTTCTGTAGCTCTCTGTTATGCCCCCTTGTAAGTGCTTATCAATGCCTGTGCCAGTGTACCCTCAGGCTCCTCTTTAGATCCTCATAGCCTCACCTACCTTGTTCCAGCTGCTGCTATTTCAACCAGTTCTGCACAGGTCTGATGTACTTCCCAGAGGGGCAGCCTAGCAGTGTCTCAGCTCATGCCTACTGTGGGCCTCTTGCCTCCCACTTCCAGATTTCATGTTGACATTGAGTCATAGGATACCACAAAACTAGACTTGCACATGCACAACAACCAAGAATGTGGGAAAATGAAGGCCTCTTGAGGCAAACCTTTGACTAATAGGAGATGGGGCTGGTGGATAAACCCTTCTCCCTTTTTCTCCTTGACCAGATTGTCCTGAGATGCAGCTTACGCTGATTACTGGAGGATAAGTCCATGATTTCAAGCAGTCAGTTAGCAGCGGTTGGCTTAATGACGCCTTTGCTGTACCTCCCTCACTGCATGTGTTTCCTAGGGCTGGCACAGCAAAGAACCACAAACTCAGTGGCTTAAACACCAGAAATGTATTGCCTCGCAGTTTTGGAGGCTAGGAATCCAAAACCGTGTTATTGGTAGGGCCATGTTATCTCTGAAGGTTCTAGGGAAGGATCCTTCCTTGCCTCTTCCAGCAAGGCATTCCAGTAGTCCCAGGCATTCCTTGGCTTGTAGATATATCACTCCAATGTCAGTATTCATCTTCACATAGCATTCTCCCTGTATATCTGCCTGTCTTCTTGCAAGGACACCAGTTCTACTGCATTAAGGGTACTCTATTTCAGCATGATTTTATCTTTACTAATTACATCTGCAATGACTCAATTTCCAAAGTGTCGCCTTCTGAGGAAGTGGTGGTTGGGATTTTAACATATTTTTTGGCAGGGGGAGTGGGGTGGGGAGGGCAGGGGGACACAAAATTCAACCCATAACCTTCTCCCTTCCTTGCCTCACACTGGTTTCTCAAGTCTGCTTCCTGGGATTGTACTCCCTAATGAAGTGGCCAAATATCAGGTGTGCCCTCAGGCTGCACTTTCTGGGAGACTCTTCCTGTGAGATCCTATGCTAAAGCAGTTGATCCTCGCAATCCACTAGTTAGGTAAGTCAGGCAAATGAGAATCCCCATTATGCTCAAGAAATTGAGGCACCAATTAAGTGACTTGTCCACAGTTTCCCAGCAACCCTGTGGAAGTCCTGTTCTCCGCTATGGCCTCAGAACCCCATACGGTGCATTAGGAGCAGAGTTCAATAACTTCAACTTCTCTTACTTCTATGCTCTGCACTCGTTTCCCCCATATTCTGTGGGGAGAAATTAATACATGATGTTGAGAAAGAGAGCAAAGGAAAGAAGATGAACTTTCTTTTCTTTTCCTATTCTTCTATCCCATGAAACAATTTACTGTTTTGGAGCCAGTTTTTTAATGTTAAGCCCATTTGATAAAAGATGAATTCTTTATTGTTTGCTACAGCCTTTAAACAGGCAGCCTCTCCACTGAAAAGCCTGTTATTTTAATGAATGCAGTAAGAAAGATGTTCATTGCAATTGAGAGCTCAGCTTTGAATTCAGATGGATCTGGGTTTATACCCTGTTTCTGCCACTTACAAATTGTGTAACTTGGGCAAGTTATCTAACCCAAACCTTCTCTAAGTCTTAGTTTACCCATGCCTATTATTAAAGGCTTTGTGAGAATTAAGTTAAATTAAGTATTCTGGCATAGTGCCTGGCACATAGTCAATGCTTAACAAATGTAATTTTTATAAGTGCCCAAGGACTTTTAAAAAATTCTACTTTAAAGCTGTAATTAAACAAAGAAGTGGCTCATCTGGAGGTTGGTTATAACACCCAGTGGGTGAGGCTCACAGAACACAACCTACTAGGACAACCAAAAAAGGGTGTAGGTGTTTAAACAGAGACCGATAGTAGGTATTGAGTTGCCGTGGTAAAGAGAATGGAATTAGAGCTGGGAATTTAATTGAGCACCTTTATAGGATTAAAATGCTTTCAAAATGCTCGAAAATATAGGCATATTCAATACCTAACATGGCAATTTCTAGTGAGGCGCTGGGAAGAGTCACCATGGGAATCATTAGAAAGCTTTAGAAAAAAATCAAAACAATTTCAAAACAAAAGTTTAAGAAAGCCTGCTGAACCAAAAAATACAAAGCACACAGCAGAGGTGCAAAGTAAATAGAACCGCACAATACTTTCATTCCATACCTTTTGAGAAGTTCATGTTTTATAGTTTTCAGGTATACCAGAGAACGTTGTTGTTCCTCAAATTTAAATATCTCCACAGTGGACTTCATGTGGGGATGATTCACAACATAAAGATACACAGTATTGTCTACATGGAAAAAAGGGATAATTTCCAAGAAAGTTACCCCTATCACAACTAATATTAGACTTGTTTTAAAACTTGGTCACTTCCAAAAGTTTTCTTCTTACATCTTGCATTTTACCCTCACAGTCTACATGATAGGTAAGTCAGACAAATGCCAGAATCCAGATTTAGTTGAGGAAATTGAAGCTCAGGAGGCGAATGATCCATCAGCAATTTCATCACCACAAAGTGGCAGAGCCAAGATGTTTTGCCATAGTCACTTCACCCTTATATGCATAACCTGTCTAACAGGAGCCTACAGAACTATAATGATGCATAAACAGGGATGTGGTTTCCCCAGATGGCCCTTCAGCAAGAGAAGTGAGTGCAAGCAAACAAAACTTTGCTGAGATGTTGTGTGTGTACAATAATTATCTACATTGCAACAGAAGCTCAGTGAATGTCAGGGCAGTGTAAACACCTTAAAATAAGCAACATTTCCCAGCTAGACAATGAATTTCTGACACAAGCCAACATAACAATATTTAGTGAGCTCAATGGACATGGCATGTAAATATGAATGCGAGATAAAACAAACTAACTAATTCTAGGTAGTACCCACCTCAGAAATGTCACCTACCCATTTCAATTGGAATGTGAACTGCTGTGAACAAGATTGAGGGTAGTAATTTGGCCTCTGAGAATGCTGTCTTCTGACTTATCAGGAGTTCTAGGTTTGATGAGCTCTGGAGTTTTAAAGGGTCTGGTCCCATCCTCCCACTGTAGGACTTGATCTGTATTCATCTTCCCTATTCCTTTCCCAAATGTAGTTTTTAAGCACGTGATGGAACAAGCCCAAACCCTGAGATGCAAAATTCATAACCAGGACCTCTGAAACACACTGGGCACTTTGATGCAAATTAAGGAAAGGTGCTTGCTCACAGAGGAAATCTTCCTTCTGGTCTGATCCAGCTCTGTTCCAAGGCTCAGGGCGTGGCAAACAGAACATGGGTTGGATTTCAGCCCCAACACGGACCTTCAGTCTTTTGCTAGACACAATAGTGAACAATCACTTGTGCTAGCCTGATTTCATTTCTTCTAGTGCATCTACTGAATCCCTCTTTCCAAATAAGATATACTTAGTGAGAGTACTTTTCTTCTCCATCTCCTCATTCCATCTCTATTTCTATATGTAATATTTTGGCCTTATGAATTAAATACATAATTAAGGGAGATGACAAACAAATAAGATAAGCTGTGAATCATAATATACTCAACTTATGGAAGCCTGATTATATGACTGTTATTGTATAAACATGTCCCATCTCAAAAACAAAAACAAAAACAAACAAAAAAAAAAAAAAGAAAGAAAAAAAGCCCCAAACCCACCTCCACCTCTACCTCTAATATGATCCCATGCAATGAAATAGTTTCAGGTAAATCTAATCACTTATTATACCATCTCCAATGCAGAATCTTATGTCTTGTACAGTGTGAGGCAAAACAGTTGCAGTTTTAAAATTATTTAAATAGAGTCCTAATCTCATTTTAGTAAAAGACACAGGATTAGAAGTGAGACCTCCTCTGTCTGAGTTCTGGATCAGCCATTTACTAATTGCAGAAGTGAAGTCACACTTCACTGCATTCCTCTAAACTTCATTGTATCCATCTATAAAGTTGAATATTACTATGTGCTCTGCCTGTCCTATAGGGTTCGTTTATTTATTCATTTGATATGTGTTCATAGAGTACCTACTGTGCATCAGATACTGTTCTAGACTCTCAGAATCCAGCAATGGACAAATCAATATGCTTTTATGGTGATTATATTTGAGAGAGGAAAACAAGGAGGAAAAATTATTAAATAAATTAAAACAAAGAATACTAGAGTGGGGAGACACGTTCTTCATAGAGTGTCATTCATTTGAAGAGTAACAGTTAAGTTTAGGAACTTGCTATAGAGCAAGAGCAGGAGAGGGAAAGAAAATTCCTATCCTTTAACATTTAAAAAAAAAAGTTACTACTGTAGGCTGGGAGTGGTGGCTTACACCTGTAATCCTAACACTTTGGGAGGCCAAGGCAGGTGGATCACCTGAGGTCAGAAGTTCGAGACCAGCCTGGCCAACATGGTGAAACCCTGTCTCTACTAAAAATACAAAAAATTAGCCGGGCATGGTGGCGCATGCCTGTAATCCCAGCTACTTGGGAGGCTGAGGCATGAGAATTGCTTGAACCCGGGAGGCAGGGGTTGCAGTGAGCTTAGATTGTGCCACTGCACTCCAGCTTGGGAGACGAGCAAAACTTCATCTCATAAAAAAAAAATTAGTTACCACCGTAATGAATGATTTTAAAAAAGAGGTACATTGAGAAGAAATATAGAAAGGTACACAAATTGGAACAAGATGGTGGGCAGGCTTCCCTGAGAAGATGATATTTAAGCTGAGTCTTCAATGATGACAAAGAGTGAGCCAGAAGTGGCAGACGGACATTCCAGGCAGAGGGAACAGCAGATGTAAAGATCCTGAGGCATGAGACACTTCACTGAATGAAAAGAAATCCAGTATGGCTGGTCCAGAGAGTCTGGAGGAGAATGGTTTCCAGTGAAACTGGAGAGCATACAGGTGCCAGAAGGTACAGGGGAAGCACCCAGGAACCCAGGCCGTTCTGGAGATTTGGGGTTTATCCTCAGAGTGACAGAACAATATGAAAAATTTGATGAAAAGAGGGACATAATCAGATTTGCATAAAAAGAAATCCTTACTATGACAATGAATTGAGGTGGTATGAGAAGGAAGGTACAGTTGGGGGCCCATGCAGAATCAGGGAAGGCATGCTGGGGCCTTGAACTGCTGGTAGCAGTGAGGATGGGGAGAGATGGACAGATATTTCAGACTGGAGAGATATTGGAGAGATACATTAAACAAAACATTATAATGAGTTGATCAAAAGGGCCAGGGAGAGGAAGTGTCAAGGTTGGGCCCAGGATTTTATTTCGAGAAGTAAAGACACCATTATATATGAAAATAGTTTGTATACTATAAACCAATGAAAAATTGTTAGATTCAATTATCTTTTAAAGCAGAGCTTGCTAAGCAAATAAAAGTGTATATAAGATTTCATGGAATTCTAGCACTTCAATTTGGTCCTCCTTTCATGTGGTTACTGTTAGTGAAGTTTCCCTGTTCTTAATTTTCTTCATGCTGTATAGACCCAAAAATATTTTAAAATTAAATGTTTGAAATTATGAACTGTGAACAAGTCAAAAATAATATTGGAAACTATTGTTTTTAAAGCATATATGGTATATTGATAACTTATGTTTTTATAATATATTTTTGAGATATAATTCACACACCACTGAATTCAGACTTTTAAAATGTAAACTTCAGTGGGTTTTAGTATATTCACAGAATTGTGCAACCATAACCACTATTTAGTTCCAGAACATTTTCATCACCCAAAAAGAAATCACCTACTCATTAGCTGTCATTCCTCCTTCCCCACTCCCCTGGCTCCTGCCAACAATTTTTCTGTCTGTGAATTCACCTATTCTGGACACTTCATATAAATGGAATCACATAATGTGTGGCTTTTAGTGACTAAATTCCTTCAGTTGGCATAATATTTACAAGCTTCATCCATATTATAGCATGCATGAGTAGTTCATTTCTTTTTATTGCCAAATAGTGTTCTATTGTATAAATACCTATCACATTTTGTTTATGAATGCATCAGTTGATAGACATTTGGGTTATTTCCACCTTTTGTATTAGGAGTAATGCTGCTATGAACATTTGTATATGGGTTTTTGCATGGATAGGTTTTCAATTCTCTTGAGCATACACCAAGGTGCAGAGTTGCTGGATTGTGTGGTAACTCTATGTTTAACATGTTGAGGAAATGCAAAACTCCTTCCCAAAGTGGTTACATTATTTCACAATCCCACTGGCAAAGTATGAGGGTTCCAATTTTTCTACATCCTTGCCAACATTTGTTATTGTCTGTCTTTTTAATTATCACCATCCTAGTGGGTGTGAAATGGTATCTCATTCTGGTTTTGATTTGTAGTTTCCTAATGTCTAAGGATGATAAACATCTTTCATGTGCTTACAGGCCTTTGTGTATCTTAGGAGAAATGTCTATCTAGGTAGATACTTTGTCCATTTTTAAATTACATTATTTGTGTTTTGTTAAGTTGTAAGAATTATTTATATTGTCTGAATACAAGTCTCTCATCTAATATATGATTTACAAATACTATCTCTCATTCTTTGGGTTGTTTTTCACTTTCTTGATGGTGTCTTTTGAAGCACAAAAGCTTTTAACTTTGATGAGTCTAATTTGTTTTTTTCCCCCTTATGTTATGTTTTTTAACGTCTCACAGTTGTCTTTAGTGACAACTAAACTAAAGGGCCTTTAGTTTACATGTTAGATTTCTGAGAACAGTATTCAAACAGGTTGTGACAGTCAAACAAGAAGACAAGTGGATAGAAGGAAGAGGAGGAGGCCACATAGGGCCAAAAATACTAGTGTTCCTTCTTTAATGCAATGTTTACAAGGTTTTATACCTATTTATCATTTAAAAAAAACACATCTGTATGGTAAAATAGCATCTTCTCTCTTCCTGTTACATAAATATTGAGGGGCTGGAGATAAATGGTTTCTATTTCCCTCATTTCCCCCTTATCCCTAAACATACAGGTTTTACCTTTGTCGATGAAAATACTGATCCCATGTGGATTAAATAATTCTTTGTCAAATCCACCACTGATTTCTAGCGCTTGTGCCCTTGGGTTTTGTTCATTCAGATCCATCAAGAAGATTTTTCCTGGTTCATCTGGCGCAAAGTTTGGCATGCCTGGATATTTTAATCCCTTTTAAAAATAAAGAACAAGTGTGCACACATATACATATCAAAACAATATTTTCATAAGGAATTTAAAATCTCAAAGCCAAATAAAAATGTTCAAAGTTCTAAATTTCATTTAGATTACTGGGCTTTTTCACTCTGTCAGCTGTTTCCATGATCTGATCTGGGGTGTTACTGATGTCATCTAAACATTGGCTATGAACACAGAAAGAACCATATTCAAGATAAGGAAGAGTTTTTAATTTAGAGAAAAGGAGTTAAGCCAAAAAAATATAACAGAAGAGACTAGGCTGTTACTTTGTGTGAATCCCTTCACATGCCCGTACCTCACATTCCTCATCTATAAAATGAAGAAGTTCAAATACATGATTATAAGATTATTTCCGGTCCTGGTATTCTATAACTAACCTTCCTCAAAGCAGAGAGAAGGGGTGTATAGTTTAATTGTATTGTTCCCATTCCTACATCGATTATATCATGTAGTGGCAAACAGTATAGCTGGCTAAGAATTAACATAAGGATACCAGTCTTATATAGTTGACTATTTTTGACCTATTTTGTTCCTATAGGTATGTCTGAAAATTCTGACATGAATGCTTTACTCAAACATCACAAAAAGTTTATTCCAGTAACTTGGACAGTGGTCCTTTCTACTATTAGGATCAGGTAGCTATTAATCAACAATAGGCATCCTGAATGCATGAAGCCTTTGCTGCATCTGAGTCCACTGTGACAAACCTTGGGGTTGGTTTATTCTACACCAGTTACAAAACAGTCCACTTCCTCTCCATGTCCCCTATCTATCACTGGATATATATCAATATCAATAACTTTATATCTTCTCTGCTACCTTTATCTTCTTTTACAGTCTATTGCAATTCTCTCTTTCCTATTTCACCTTGTCTTTCTGCCTCTTTCCCTCTCCCTGTCCTTTCTACACACACGTACACATACACTTATGATACTATTACTGGCTCTTCCACTGCTCCCTCTTGAGGTAGTCAATCTTTTCTGAACAACCCCAGCTATATCTTCAAACTTTTTTTAGAACAGTCCTTCTATGCCCAATTCGTATGTCCCAATGTTGTCTGAGGGAAACCTGGCTTTTCCCAGACAACACCGGCACTACTGAAGCTCATCAGAGGAGGCACTGTTCCCTCTTTATTCTCCTTAAGTCAGCACATCTGGAGAAGGGATTGGCATGTCCCTAGCCACAAACTTCTGCTTCCAGACCATAATCCTGTCGTCATCAATAGCTACACCCTTTGCTTCCTTATCACATTCTGTGCGAACTCCCTTTGCCTTGGTCTAGCTCTTATATAGGGCAAGTCTAAAATCAGATTGAAAAACTCCACTACAAAGTCACTATCCCAACTTCAGCCAGACATTTAGTACTGTTTATTGATTTTTTTGGCTCATTATGATAGGCAATCTATTGGATTTCCTCATGTCTCACTTCTAAATTTATTTCATTATCTTCTAGAGTAGGGGTCCCCAACCCCTGTGCCACAGACTGGTACCTGTCCGTAGCCTGTAAGGAGCTGGGCCTTACAAGGAACAACAGGAGGTGAGCTGCAGGTGAGTGAGCATTACCGCCTGAGCTCCACCTTCTGTAAGATCAGCAGTGGCATTAAATTCTCATAGGAGTGCAAACCCTATTGTGAACTGAGCCTGCAAGGGATCTAGGTTGGATGCTCCTTATGAGAATCTAATGCCTGATGATCTGAGGTAGAACAGTTTTATCTTGACCATTCCCCACTCCCCCTCCATGATCTGTGGAAAAAATTGTCTTCCACGAAACTGGTCCCTGGTGCCCAAAATGCTGGGACCACTGTTCTAGAGCCCATACTTTCTTCCTCTTTATTATGAGTGGATGACTTTACTTACTACTTCTCTGAAAATGTCATGTCATTTAACATGAATTTCCTATAATTCTTTCCTTTCTGTCCCAGTAATTCTTCTTCAGTTTTATTCATTCTCTTTCTTTCTCCCTCTTTTCTCAAGTAAGAAATGTCCCTCCTCTGTTCTTAGATTAAATCCTTTACCTGCTTTCTTGGTTCCCTGTTCTCTAGGGTCTGTCTCTAGAGATTACACCCTCTCTCTCTTGCTTTACCACTCATTTTTCACTAACAGCTTCTTCTTTGGCCTAAAAAATTACAAGGTTTCCTTCCTTGAAATAAATATTTTCTTAACTTTACTGCCTCTTCATATATGCATTTATCTCTCTTCCCCTCACCATCAAATTTCTTAGAAACATCACCTGATCTTATTGCCTAATGTGAACTGCTCCAACTCTCAATTCCCTGAAGTTAGTATTCCACTCCCACCAGTTTGTAGAAATACCCTTATAAAGATCATATAAATGGTCTCCAAATTACTTTATTTTGATAACTTTTCTACTTCTGATCTGCTTCTCTGTGGCATTTGACACTACAGTATACCTTCTTCTTTCTTATCAAAACGTCAAAAGTTGAGTTCCCAGATAGAAATCCTGCTCCTCTTCCTGACTCTTGGATTTATACCTCCTTCTGTTTTTATCGATCCCTCCTCCCTTCTCACTCTATACTCTTTCCTTGCAGATCTTATACATAAAGATTCAGGTATTTCCTTTATATCAAGGACTTTCAAGTCTGCACATTTATTTGTAACTCTGTAACTCTAGCTTGCCTTCCCAACCTCCTCCCAAAGGGCAGCTCAAAATCAACTAGTCAAAACCAAAATCAACACTCTCCCCTCGAATCCATCCTCTCATTTATATCTATTCTTCTCAGTTAAGGACATCACTATGCTCCCCAACATCAGAACATAAAATTCAATTTTCAGTCTACTCTTTTCCCCATAACCAATTTGTCACCAAGCTCAATGGCTCAGATAATAGTAGTACTGAAGAAAAAATTTAATGTATATATGTATATGTATACATATATATATGTATGTGTGTATATATGTACGTATATATGTATATGTATACATATATATGTATGTGTGTGTATATATGTATGTATATATATACACACTCACATATGTTAAAAATAAAAAATATATAATAATTATATACATATAAATATATTAGGGGCATCTTATCTCACATCTTCCCTTTCACATGAGGGAAATGAGGCCTAGAAGAGTGATTTGCCTAAATCACTCAGATCATTTATTGTTCAGACTCTCTCTGCCACACATACAGAAAGGTTTGGAAGTAAACAGTATTGCTCAGGAAGGCAGCTCAAGACAGAACACAATGGCAAGTACCTTGGTAGCTTGGGGGAAGGTGGAGCATAGCCAGCTAGTGAAAAGACTGGATGTTACAGAAATAAAATAATCTGATAGATAGATAAGGGCAGGGCACTGCAAACAAGCTTGGTCTAGATTAAGTGTGATGATCAAAGAAACACTTCTGATAAATGGCTTCACATTCACCTAGTTTTCTGTGTAAAGCAGTTAGGTAGGAATTTGTGGCAGCAAACCAACTGTGTGTTAATGACTGTAAGCAATTCTTTTCATACCATTCACTGGTGAAAGTGATGAAAATCATCATCTAGACATGCAGGAATCTTATTTTTCCCAACAAACTACAGGTAAATGTGGACAATCAATGAACTCTTCCACTATACTCATCCATCACCACATGAACTCAGTAAATATTCGAGGACTTGCAAATGCCTGGTAGTATGTTCGGTGTTGGGCATGTCAATACATGTTCCAAAGTCTTGAGTTCAAGGATCTTGAAACCTAGAGCAAGCACTTAAGTATGGTGTGGTCTATAACAGCCTAAACTCAGGGGATGTGAGGGAATATTCAAGAGGGAACATTGAAGAGGCACCTCACCCCACAAGAGAGTGCCAGGGAAGACTCTCCTGAGGAAGTAAAGTGCCACCACAATGAACCCTCACAAAGAAGTGGGAGTTAGCTGGCAAAGTGTGAAGAAGGGAGTAATCTTGGAGTCAAAGAGAAGCATGTCAAGTCCCAAGGCAGGGAAGAAAATATCCTGTTTGTCATCCCTAAATAGACTAGAAATATCTATTGCACAGAATTATTCTCCAAATCAGCAACTTCCAAACATCTTCTAGGATGGCAAGAAAGGGTAAAAGGAGAAACCAAAAGAACAAGGTCCTGAATTTATTACAGTGCAGAAGGATTAGAAACAAGCAAAACAACAGAATCCTTATCCTATAAGTTGTTTGTTCATTTACAAAAGGAGATCCATTATTTAAAACTTCATGTTAACATTTCTCATAAAATTATTTGTGATGAAAATATATACTTCCTGTATAGCAATGATTCAGAACTTTTAGTTCCAGTGAAAATTAAAAAAAAAAAAGAAAACATACAGTAGGAAGGACAAACATTATTTCACAACAGTAAAGAAATTTCCTAGTTATAGAATCATCACTTTTAGTGGTATATTTGGCATAACATTGAAAATTTAAACTGAAAGGAAGCTTCCAAGATGGCGGAATAGGAACAGCTCCGGCCTGCGGCTCCCAGTGAGATCAACACAGAAGACAGGTGATTTCTGCATTTCCGACTGAGGTACCTGGTCCATCTCATTGGGACTGGTTGGACAGTGGGTGCAGCCCATGGAGGGCAAGCCAAAGTGGGGCAGGGCGTCACCTCACCCAGGAAGTGCAAGGGGTCAGGGGATTTCCCTTTCCTAGCCAAGGGAAGCCGTGACAGTCTGTACCTGGAGGAACGGTACGCTCCTGCCCAAATACTGTGCTTTTCCCACAGTCTTTGCAACCAGCAGACCAGGAAATTCCCTCCCGTGTCTGGCTCGGCGGGTTCTACGCCCACAGAGCCTTGCTCACGGCTAGCACAGCAGTCTGAGATCAACCTGCGATGCTGCAGCTTGGCAGGGGGAGGGGCATCCACCATTGCTGAGGCTTGAGTAGGCGGTTTTGTGCTCACAGTGTAAACAAAGAGGCCGGGAAGCTTGAACAGGGCAGAGCCCACCACAGCTCAGCAAGGCCTACTGCCTTGCTGTAGATTCCACCTCTGTGGGCAGGGCAAATCAGAACAAAAGGCGGCAGACAGCTTCAGCAGACCTAAACGTCCCTGTCTGACAGCTCTGAAGACAGCAGTAGTTCTCCCAGCATGGCATTCGAGCTCTGAGAACAGATAGACTGTCTCCTCAAGTGGGTCTCTGACACCCATGTAGCCTGACTGGGAGACACCTCCCAGTAGGGGCTGACAGATACCTCATACAGGCGGATGCCCCTCTGGGATGAAGCTTCCAGAAGAAAAATCAGGCAGCAATATTTGCCGTTCTGCAGCCTCCACTGGTGATACCCAGGCAAACAGGGTCTGGAGTGGACTTCCAGCAAACTCCAACAGACCTGCAGCTGAGAGGCGCGACTGTTAGAAGGAAAACTAACAAACAGAAAGGAATAGCATCAACATCAACAAAGAGCACATCTACACCAAAACCCCATCTGTAGGTCACCAAACAAAAACCACAAAGATGGGGAGAAAGCAGAGCAGAGAAGCTGAAAATTCCAAAAACCAGAGTGCCTCTTATCCAAAGAATCACAGCTCCTTGCCAGCAAAGAAACAAAACTGGATGAAGAATGAGTTTGACAAGTTGACAGAAGTAGGCTTCAGAGGGTCAGTAATAACAAACTTCTCCGAGCTAAAGGAGCATGTTCTAACCCATCACAAGGAAGCTAAAAACCTTGAAAAAAGTGATACAAATGGATAACTAGAATAAGCAGTGTAGAGAAGACCTTAAATGACCAGATGGAGCTGAAAACCAAGGCATGAGAACTTCCTCATGCATGCACAAGCTTCAATAGCCGATTTGATCAAGTGGAAGAAAGGATATCAGTGATTGAAGACCAAAGTAATGAAATAAAGTGAGATGACAAGATGAGAGAAGAGTGAAAAGAAACGAACAAAGCCTCCAAGAAATATGGGACTCTGTGAAAAGACCAAATCTACGTTTGATTGGTGTACCAGAAAGTGACAGGAAGAATGGATCCAACTTAGAAAACACTCTTCAGGATATTATCCAGGAGAACTTCCCCAACCTAGCAAGGCAGGCCAACATTCAAATTCAGGAAATAAAGAGAACACCACAAAGATACTCCTTGAGAAGAGCAACTCCAAGACACACAATTGTCAGATTTACCAAGGTTGAAATGAAGGACAAAATGTTAAAGGCAGCCAGAGAGAAAGGCTGGGTTACCCACAAAAGGAAGCCCATTAGACTAACAGCTGATCTCTCGGCACAAACCCTACAAGCCAGAAGAGAGTGGGGGCCAATATTCAACATTCTTAAAGAAAAGAATTTTCAACCCAGAATTTCATATCCAGCCAAACTAAGCTTCATAAGTGAAGGAGAAATAAAATCCTTTACAGACAACAAATGCTGAGAGATTCTGTCACTGCCAGGCCTGCCTTACAAGAGCTCCTGAAGGAAGCACTAAACATGGAAAGGAACAACCAGTACCAGCCACTGCAAAAACATGCCAAATTGTAAAGACCATTGATGACATGAAGAAACTGCATCAATTAACGGGCAAAATAACCAGCTAACATCATAATGACAGGGCCAAATTCAAACATAACAATATTAACCTTAAATGTAAATGGGCTAAATGCCCCGATTAAAAGACACAGACTGGCAAATTGGATAGAGTCAAGACCCATCTGTGTGCTGTATTCAGGAGACCCATCTCATGTGCAAAGACACACATAGGCTCAAAATAAAGGGATGGAGGAAGATCTACCAAGCAAATAAAAAGCAAAAAAAAAAAAGCAGGAGTTGCAATCCTAGTCTCTGATAAAACAGATTTTAAACTAACAAATATCAAAAGAGACAAAGAAGGCCATTACATAATGGTAAAGGGAACAATTCAACAAGAGTTAACTATCCTAAATATACATGCATCTGTCCAAGATGGCCAAATAGGAACAGCCCCAATCTACAGCACCCAGCATGAGCGACACAGAAGACTGGTGATTTCTGCATTTCCAACTGAGGTACCGGGTTCATCTCACTGGGGCTTGTCAGACAGTGGGTGCAGGACAGTGGGTGCAGCGCACCGAGTGTGAGCCGAAGCAGGGTGAGGCATCACCTCAGCCGGGAAGTGCAAAGGGTCAGGGAATTCCCTTTCATAGCAAAGCAAAGCTGTGACAGACGGCACCTGGAAAATCAGGTCACTCCCACCCTAATACTGCACTTTTCCAATGGTCTTAGCAAACAGCACACCAGGAGATTATATTCCGTGCCTGGCTCGGAGGGTTCCACACCCATGGAGCCTTGCTCATTGCTAGCACAGCAGTTTGAGATCGAACTGCAAGGGAGCAGCGAGGCTGGGGGAGGGGCGCCCGCCATTGCTGAGGCTTGAGTAGGTAAACAAAGTGGTCAGGAAGCTCGAACTGGGTGGAGCCCACCGCAGCTCAAGGATGCCTGCCTGCCTCTGTAGACTCCACCTCTGGGGGCAGGGCATAGCCGAACAAAAGGCAGCAGAAACCTCTGCAGACTTAAATGTCCCTATCTGACAGCTTTGAAGAGAGTAGTGGTTCTCCCAGCACGCAGCTTGAGATCTGAGAACAGAAAGACTGCCTCCTCAAGTGGGTCCCTGACCCCTGAGTAGCCTAACTGGGAGGCACACCCCAGTACGGGCAGACTGACACCTCACATGGCCAGGTACCCCTCTGAGACGAAACCTCCAGAGGAACAATCAAACAGTAACATTTGCTGTTCAGCAATATTCGCTGTTCTGCAGCCTCCGCTGCTGATACCCAGGCAAACAGGGTCGGAGTGGACCTCCAGCAAACTCCAACAGACCTGCAGCTGACGGTCCTCACTCTTAGAAGGAAAACTAACAAACAGAAAGGACATCCACACCAAAACCCCATCTGTACGTCAGCATCATCAAAGACCAAAGGTAGATAAAACCACAAAGATGGGGAAAAAACAGAACAGAAAAATTGAAAATTCTAAAAATCAGAGCACCTCTCCTCCTCCAAACGAATGCAGCTCCTCACCAGCAATGGAACAAAGCTGGATGGAAAAGGACTTTGATGAGTTGAGAGAAGAAGGTTTCAGACAACCAAACTTCTCTGAGCTAAAGGAGGAAGTTCAAACTCATGACAAAGAAGTTAAAAACCTTGAAAAAAGATTAGATGAATGGCTAACTAGAGTAACCAATGCAGAGAAGTCCTTAAAGGACCTGATGGAGCTGAAAACCATGGCATGAGAACTACGTGATGAATGCACAAGCTTCAGTAGCCAATTCGATCAAGTGGAAGAAAGGGTAACAATGATTGAAGATCAAATGAATAAAATGAAACAACAAGAGAAGTTTAGAGCAAAAAGAATAAAAAGAAATGAACAAAGCCTCCAAGAAATATGGGACTATGTGAAAAGACCAAATCTGCGTCTGATTGGTGTACCTGAAAGTGACGGGGAGAATGGAACCAAGTTGGAAAACACTCTGCAGGATATTATCCAGGAGAACTTCCCCAACCTAGCAAGGTAGGCCAACATTCAAATTCAGGAAATACAGAGAATGCCACAAAGATATTCCTCGAGAACAGCAACTCCAAGACACATAATTGTCAGATTCACCAAGGTTGAAATGAAGGAAAAAATGTTAAGGGCAGCCAGAGAGAAAGGTCCAGTTACCGACAAAGGGAAGCCCATCAGACTAACAGCTGATCTCTTGGCAGAAACTCTACAAGCCAGAAGAGGGTGGGGGCCAATATTCAACGATATTAAAGAAAAGAATTTTCAACCCAGAATTTCATATCCAGCCAAACTAAGCTTCACAAGTGAAGGAGAAATAAAATCCTTTACAGACAAGCAAATGCAGAGAAATTTGGTCACCACCAGGCCTGCCCTACAAGAGCTCCTGAAGGAAGCACTAAACATGGAAAGGAACAACCAGTACCAGCCACTGCAAAAACATGCCAAATTGTAAAGACCATCGAGGCTAGGAAGAAACTGCATCAACTAATGAGCAAAATAACCAGCTAACATCATAATGACAGGATCAAATTCACACATAACGATATTAACCTTAAATGTAAATGGGCTAAATGCTCCAATTAAAAGACACAGACTGGCAAATTGGATAAAGAGTCAAGACCCATCAGTATGCTGTATTCAAGAAACCCATCTCATGTGCAGAGACACACATAGGCTCAAAATAAAGGGACAGAGGAAGATCTACTAAAGAAATGGAAAACAAAAAAAGGCAGGGGTTGCAATCCTAGTCTCTGATAAAATAGACTTTAAACCAACAAAGATCAAAACAGACAAAGAAGGCCATTAAACAATGGTAGAGGGATCAATTCAACGAGAAGAGCTAACTATCCTAAATATATATGCACCCAATACAGGAGCACCCAGATTCATAAAGCAAGTCCTTAGAGACCTACAAAGAGACTTAGACTCCCACACAACAATAATGGGAGACTTTAATACCCCACTGTCAATATTAGACAGATCAACGAGACAGAAAGTTAAAAAGGATATCCAGGAATTGAATTCAGCTCTGCACCAAGCAGACCTAATAGACATCTACAGAACTCTCCACCCAAATTAACACACTATACATTCTTCTCAGCACCACATTGCACTTATTTCAAAATTGACCACATAGTTGGAAGTAAAGGACTACTCAGCAAATGTAAAAGAACAGAAATTATAACAAACTGTCTCTCAGACCACAGTGCAATCAAACTAGCACTCAGGATTAAGAAACTCACTCAAAACCACTGAGCTACATGGAAACTGAACAACCTGCTCCTGAATGACTACTGGGTACATAATGAAATGAAGGCAGAAATAAAGATGTTCTTTGAAACCGACGAGAACAAAGATACAACATATCAGAATCCCTGGGACACATTTAAAGCAGTGTGTAGAGGGAAATTTATAGCACTAAATGCCCACAAGAGAAAGCAGGAAAGATCTAAAATCGACAACCTAACATCACAATTAAAAGAACTACAGAATCCAGAGCAAACACATTCAAAAGCTAGCAGAAGACAAGAAATAACTAAGATCAGAGCAGAACTGAAGGAGATAGAGACACAAAAAACCCTTCAAAAAATCAATGAATCCAGGAGCTGGTATTTTGAAAAGATCAACAAAATTGATAGACCACTAGCAAGACTAATAAAGAAGAAAAGAGAGAAGAATCAAATAGATGCAATAAAAAATGATAAAGGGGATATCACCACTGATCCCACAGAAATACAAACTACCATCACAGGATACTATAAACACATCTATGCAAATAAACTAGAAAATCTAGAAGAAATGGATAAATTCCTCAACACATACACCCTCCCAAGACTAAACCAGGAAGAACTTGAATCTCTGAATAGACCAATAACAGGCTCTGAAATTGAGACAATAATTAATAGCTTACCAACCAAAAAAAGTCCAGGATCAGATGGATTCACAGCCGAATTCTACCAGAGGTACAAGGAGGAGCTGGTACCATTCTTCCTAAACTATCCCAATCAATAGAAAAAGAGGGAATCCTCCCTAACTCATTTTATGAGGCCAGCATCATCCTGATACCAAGGCCTGGCAGAGACACAACAAAAAAAGAGAATTTTAGGCCAATATTCCTGATGAACATTGATGTGAAAATCCTCAATAAAATACTAGCAAACCAAATCCAGCAGCACATCAAAAAGCTTATGCACCAAGATCAAGTGGGCTTCATCCCTGGGATGCAAGGCTGGTCCAACATACACAAATCAATAAATGTAATTCGGCATATAAACAGAACTGAAGATAAAAACCACATGATTATCTCACTAGATGCAGAAAAGGCCTTCGACAAAATTCAACAGCCCTTCATGCTAAAAACTCTCAATAAATTAGGTATTGATGGGACATATCTCAAAATAATAAGAGCTATCTATGACAAACCCACAGCCAATATCATACTGAATGGGCAAAAACTGGAAGCATTCCCTTTGAAAACCAGCACAAGACAGGGATGCCCTCTCTCACCACTCCTATTCTACATAGTGTTGGAAGTTCTCGCCAAGGCAATCAGGCAGGAGAAAGAAATAAAGGATATTCAATTAGGAAAAGAGGAAGTCAAATTGTCCCTGTTTGCAGATGACATGATTGTATATCTAGAAAACCCCATTGTCTCAGCCCAAAATCTCCTTAAACTCATAAGCAAATTCAGCAAAGTCTCAGGATACAAAATCAATGTGCAAAAATCACAAGCATTCTTATACACCAATAACAGACAAACAGAGAGCCAAATCATGAGTGAACTCCCATTCACAATTGCTTCAAAGAGAATAAAATACCCAGGAATCCAACTTACAAGGGATGTGAAGGACCTCTTCAAGGAGAACTACAAACCACTGCTCAACAAAATAAAAGAGAACACAAACAAATGGAAGAACATTCCATGCTCATGAATAGGAAGAATCAATATCGTGAAAATGGCCATACTGCCCAAGGTAATTTATAGATTCAATGCCATCCCCATCAAGCTATCAATGACTTTCTTCACAGAATTGGAAAAAACTACTTTAAAGTTCATGTGGAACCAAAAATGAGCCCGCATTGCCAAGTCAACCCTAAGCTAAGAGAACAAAGCTGGAGGCATCACGCTACCTGACTTCAAACTATACTACAAGGCTACAGTAACCAAAACAGCATGGTACTGGTACCAAAACAGATATATAGACCTATGGAACAGAACAGAGGCCTCAGAGATAATACCACACATCTACAACTATCTGATCTTTGACAAACCTGATAAAAACAAGAAATGGGGAAAGGATTCCCTATTTAATAAATGGTGCTGGGAAAACTGGCTAGCCATATGTAGAAAGCCAAAACTGGATCCCTTCCTCACACCTTATACAAAAATTAATTCAAGATGGATTAAAGACTTAAATGTAAGACCTAAAACCATAAAAACCCTAGAAGAAAACCTAGGCAATAACACTCAGGACATAGGCATGGGCAAAGACTTCATGACTAAAACACCAAAAGCAATGGCAACAAAAGCCAAAATTCACAAATGGGATCTCATTAAACTAAAGAGCTTCTGCATAGCAAAAGAAACTACCATCAGAATGAACAGGCAACCTACAGAATGCAAGAAAATTTTTTCAGTCTACTCATCTGACAAAGGGCTAATATCCAGAATCTACAAATAACTCAAACAAATTTACAAGAAAAAAACACCCCACCAAAAAGTGGGCAACGGATATGAACAGACACTTCTCAAAAGAAGACATTTATGCAGCCAACAGACCCATGAAAAAATGCTCATCATCACTGGCCATCAGAGAAATGCAAATCAAAACCACAGTGGGATACCATCTCACACCAGTTAGAATGACGATCATTAAAAGTCAGGAAACAACAGGGCTAGAGAGGATATGGAGAAATAGGAACACTTTTACACTGCTGGTGGGACTGTAAACTAGTTCAACCTTGTGGAAGACAGTGTGGCGATTCCTCAGGGATCTAGAACTAGAACTAGAAATACCATTTGACCCAGCCATCCCATTACTGGGTATATACCCAAAGGAATATAAATCCTGCTGCTATAAAGACACATGCACACGTATGTTTATTGCGGCACTACTCACAATAGCAAAGACTTGGAACCAACCCAAATGTCCAACAATGATAGACTGGATTAAGAAAATGTGGCACATATACACCATGGAATACTATGCAGACATAAAAAATGATGAGTTCATGTCCTTTGTAGGAACATGGATGAAACTGGAAACCACCATTCTGAGCAAACTATCGCAAGGACAAAAAACCAAACACTGCATGTTCTCACTCATAGGTGGGAATTGAACGATGAGAACACTTGGACACGGGAAGGGGAACATCACACACTGGGGCCTGTTGTGGGGTAGGGGGAAGAGGGAGGGATAGCATTAGAAGATATACCTAATGTAAATGATGAGTTAATTGGTGCAGCACACCAACATGGCACATGTATACATATGTAACAAACCTGCACATTGTGCACATGTACCCTAGAACTTAAAGTATAATAAAAAATATATATTTTAAAAAGTATATATACATGCATCCAATACAGGAGCACCCAGATTCATAAAGCAAGTCCTTAGAGACCTGCCAAGAGACTTAGACTCCCACACAATACTACTGGGAGACTTTAACACCCCACTGTCAATATTAGACAGATGAACGAGACAGAAGGTTAATAAGGATATCCAGGACTTGAACTCAGCTCTGGACCAAGCAGACCTCATAGACATACACAGAACTCTTCACCCCAAAACAACACAATATATGTTCTTCTCAGCACCACATCGCACTTATTCTAAAATTGACCACATAATTGGAAGTAAAACATTCCTTAGCAAATGCAAAAGAACAGAAATCACAAACTGTCTCTCAGACCACAGTGCAATCAAATTAGAACACCAGATTAAGAAACTCACTCAAAACTACACAACTACATGGAAACTGAACAACCTGTTCCTGAATGACACTGGGTAAATAATGAAATGAAGGCAGAAATAAAGATTTTCTTTGACATCAATGACATCAAAGACACAATGTACCAGAATCTCTGGAACACATTTAAAGCAGTGTGTAGAGGGGAATTTATAGCACTAAATGCCCACAAGAGGAAGCAGGAAAGATCTAAAATCGACACCTAGCCCATTTACATTTAAGGTTAGCATTCTTATGTGTGAATTTGATCCATCACCATGATGCTATCTGGTTATTCACGATTAAAAGAACTACAGAAGCAAGAGCAAACAAATTCAAAAGCTACCAGAAGGCAATAAAAAACTAAGATCAGAGCAGAACTGAAGGAGATAGATACATGAAAAACCCTTCAAAAAATCAATGAATGCAGGAGCTGCTCTTTTGAAAAAATCAACAAAATAGATAGACCACTAGCAAGATTAATAAAGAAGAAATGAGAGACGAATCAAATAGGTGCAATAAAAAATGATAAAGGGGATATCACCACTGATCCCACAGAAATACAAACTACCATCAGAGAATACTAAAAACACCTCTACACAAATAAACTAGAAAATCTAGAAGAAATGGATAAATTCCTCGACACATACATCCTCCCAAGATTAAACCAGGAAAAAGTTGAATCTCTGAATAGACCAATAACAGGCTCTGAAATTGAGGCAATAATTAATAGCCTACCAACCAATGAAAGTCCAGGACCAGATGGATTCACAGACAAATTCTACCAGAGGTACAAAGAGGAGCTGGGACGATTCCTTCTGAAACTATTCCAATCAATAGAAAAGAAGGAATCCTCCATAACTCATTTTATGAGGCTAGCATCTTCCTGATACCAAAGCCTGGCAGAGACACAACAAAAATAGATAATTTTAGGCCAATAACCCTGATGAACATTGATGCGAAAATCCTCCCTCAAAAAAATACTGGCAAACCGAATCCAGCAACACATCAAAAAGCTTATCCACCATGATCAAGTCAGCTTCATCCCAGAGATGCAAGGCTGGTTCAACATACACAAATCAATAAATGTAATCCATCACATAAACAGAACCAATGACAAAAACCACATGATTATCTCAATAGATGCAGAAAAGGCCTTCGACAAAATTCAACAGCCCTTCATGCTAAAAACTCTCAATAAACTAGGTATTGATAGAACGTATCTCAAAATAATAAGAGCTATTTATGACAAATCCACAGCCAATATCATACTGAATAGGCAAAAACTGGAAGCATTCCATTTGAAAACCTGCACAAGACAAGGATGCCCTCTCTCACCACTCCTATTCAACATAGTATTGGAAATTCTGGCCAGGGCAATTGGACAAGAGAAAGAAATAAAGGGTATTCAGTTAGGAAAAGAGGATGGCAAATTGTCTCTGTCTGCAGATGACATGATTGTATATTTAGAAAATCCCATCATCTGAGCCTCAAATCTCCTTCAGCTGATAAGCAACTTCAGCAAAGTTTCAGGATACAAAATCAATGTGCAAAAATCACAAGCATTCCTATACACCAATAACAGACAGAGAGCCAATCATGAGTGAACTCCCATTCACAATTACTATAAAGAGAATAAAATACCTGGGAATCCAACTTACAAGGGATGTGAACGACCTCTTCAAGAAGAACTACAAACCACTGCTCAACAAAATAAAAGATGACACAAACAAATGGAAGAACATTCCATGCTCATGGATAGGAAGAATCAATAACATGAAAATGGCCATACTGCCCACGGTAATTTATAGATTCAGTGTCATCCCCATCAAGCTACCAATGATTTTCTTCACAGAATTGGAAAAAACTACTTTAAAGTTCATAGGGAATCAAATAAGGGCCCGCATAGCCAAGACAATTCTCAGGAAAAAGAACAAAGCTGGAGGCATCATTGCTACCTGACTTCAAACTATACTACAAGGCTACAGTAACCAAAACAGCATGGTACTGGTACCAAAACAGATATATAGACCTATGGAACAGAACAGAAGCCTCAGAAATAACACCACACATCTACAACCATCTGATCTTTGACAAACCTGACAAAAACAAGCAATGGGAAAATGATTCCCTATGTAATAAATGGTGCTGGGAAAACTGGCTAGCCATACGTAGAAAGCCAAAACTGGATCCCTTCCTCACACCTTATACAAAAGTTAATTCAAGATGGATTAAAGACTTAAATGTAAGACCTAAAACCATAAAAACCCTAGAAGAAAACCTAGGCAATAACACTCAGGACATAGGCATGGGCAAAGACTTCACAAATGGGATCTAATTAAACTAAAGAGCTTCTGCACAGCAAAAGAAACTATCATCAGAGTGAAGAGGTAGCCTATGGAATGGGAGAAAATTTTTGCAATCTACCCATCTGACAAAGGGCTAACATCCAGAATCTACAAGGAACTTAAACAAATTTACAAGAAAAAAACAAAGAACCCCGTCAAAAAGTGGGCAAAGAATATGAAGAGACACTTCTCAAAAGAAGACATTTATGCAGTCAACAGACATGAATAAATGCTCATCATCACTGGTCATCAGAGAAATGTAAATGAAAACCACAATGAGATACCATCTCATGCCAGTTAGAATGGCAATCATTAAAAAGTCAGGAAACAACAGATGGTGGAGAAGATGTGGAGAAATAGGAACACTTTTACACTGTTGGTGGGAGTGTAAATTAGTTCAACCATTGTGGAAGACCGTGTGGCAGTTCCTCAAGGGTCTAGCACTAGAAATACCACTTGATCCAGCAATCCCATTACTGGGTATATACCCAAAGGATTATAAATCATGCTACTATAAAGACACATGCACATGTATGTTTATTGCAGCACTGTTCACAATAGTAATGACTTGGAACCAACCCAAATGTCCATCAGTGATAGACTGGATTAAGAAAATGTGGCACATATACACCATGGAATACTATGCAGCCATAAAAGAGGATGAGTTCATGTCCTTTGCAGGGACATGGATGAAACTGAAAACTATAATTCTCAGCAAACTATCACAAGGACAGAAAACCAGACACTGCATGTTTTCACTCATAAGTGGGAGTTGAACAATGAGAACACATAAACACAGGGCAGGGAACAGCACACACTGGGGCCTGTCAGGGTGTGGGGGGCTGGGGGAGGGATAGCATTAGGAGAAATACCTAATGTAAATGACAAGTTAATAGGTATAGGAAACCAGCATGGCACATGTATACCTATGTAACAAACCTGCACGTTGTGCACATGTACCCTAGAACTTAAAAGTATAATAAAAAAAAATCTAAACTGACAATAGAAAATTTAGGTCAACAAGGAAAAAACTTTTCTAGACCATTTTGTTTTATCCTTGATTTTGATGGAAAAATAAAGAAATAAAATATTGCCCACACAGACTAGCACCAGTTCCAGCAGTGACACCAGCAGCAGTTTAAGGTCCAAATGAGAGCCTCACTCTATTCTACTGTGTGTACTTATGAATTTATAAATTCAGGCCACGGTTATTATAAGTACCCCTTTTTTGGCCAAAAATATTTAAATTCAAAATCCATGTTCTTTGGTGGTATTTTATTGCCCCAAATGGAATATTAGACATCCAATTCCAGCAATCAGAATTCACATTGAAAATGTGGTAAATATACTTTTTCAAAATCATATCCCCATTTCAAAATGCAATTGATTTAACAAATATTAATATATGAAAAATTTCAACATCTCATAAATACACATTTTTTTGTTTGTTTACCGAAATGCTGTCCCTGGTGTAACTTCTTGATTATTCCTGTGAAGACAGTACTGGGAATTAAAATGCAGTCTGTTCTCTATTTCTCTTTGAAAGACTTGTTAAGAATGGCAGGGAACCCAAGATGGAACGTGTTTAGAGTTTTAAATCGAGTAACGTGGTTAATATTCGATCCACAAACATTTGCAGAGCTCCAAATAAAGGCAGACATGGTGAGAGGAATACCAGTTAGTGGGAAGATGACTACCAGAAGCGGAAGCCCAGTCAAATAGGGCAATGATGAGAATGGATAGCAATAGGACAGAACTGGAGACTAGCCTAGGAATCGAGTGGAAATCAATACACATTTATCAAGACCCTACTGAGTATGCCACTACCCCCAGGGAGTTGCCCACCATGAGGCAGTCAAAGCTGGGCATTCCTGTGGTGTTCTAATTAGCCCTCCAAAATTCTGTTTTGGCTTTTTTAGTTGACTGGTTTACCCGGAGGTGGGATGAGAGCATAGGGATCCATCTGGCAGCTCCAGAGGACAACATTAATGCACTGTCTATACAGCTATTGATGTGAGCATGAGAGCAGCATGGAAAATACTCACACTGGAGATAAAAGCCAGCCCACTAGGAAGTATATCAATATCTTCAGAGCCACTTTCTGCAAAAGAAGGGTAGAATCAGAAAAATGCATATATGAAGGCTTAAAAAATACGTCTCACAGTCCAAACTACAAATATCTTTTGGAAACTTCTTTTGGAAATTGTTGACTTGTTCAACCATTTACTTGGGAAACCATATTAACTTTGGAGAATCTCACAGGCATGCTACTCTATAGTAAAGCTTGAGTCAGACTCCTCAAATACTAAATCCTTTTTTAGAACCCCATTTTCAGGAGAAAAAGGCAAATACCTAGAAAATAAACTCATATCCTAGATTTACTCTTTAAGTAACAATTTCCAGGGCATATCCTGAGAGATTCAGCTTTATCCCCCATAGAAGGCTGCTCTATAGACTCAGTGATAAAATCTGGAAAGTCATAATCGTGAAGGTCTTTTATTACAGGCCTCTCTGCCAAGCATTCCTTCTCTTCCAACGTAAAGCCTAAAACGCTACATTATACAATCATATTGGGAAATTATTGAGTAATAAACTAATGAGTATAAATGAATATGAAAGATTACTGAATATTAATATGAAAGTTTAGTTAGATCTTTTTTCTCAGTAAGAGCTAGTTTTCAGCATTTTTTTCTATGGAAAGAGACATATAATAAGTAAGTTTTGACTGAGAACAAGTTGAAAAAGGAGCTGTCACCTACACTACGCCTGCACGACAGGCCCCATGCATCTCAGCAACAATGGCACCTGTGGGAGCAAAAGCCCCCAGGATACCTTCCTCTGAGACTTTCCCACACACTTATTAGCCTATGCACAACTATCATTAAAATCCCACTGCTAAGTCTAAAATCAGTCTTATGAATAGGTGCCTACTGCTTCTTAGCCTGTCAACCCTACTGCTACTTGGCATAACTTCATTTCTTTACTCTTTTCTTCATTTCTCCAGTCATCCCCTACAGGCACTCTGATAAAGGATCACATCAAAGCATTACTATCAGTTAATTTTATTATCGTCACTTCACATCTTGGAGAGAAGTTTCTGATAGCCAGCTAAGAAAACACATGGAACCTATTATGGAGTAGAAGCATATATTGGAGACATGGGAAGCTATAGAATGGAAAGGAGTGGAAGAGAAGATACGTAGGTATTAAATACAGAGGCCACCTACTCGATAATCCTGCCTAGTGAAAGTCCTACTGAAGTATTCATATTTCAAGTGCAGCTTTGATTAGATGTCAAGGGCAGCCAGATAACGTCCTGGTTAAAACAATCCTTGACCCTCAAAAGCCTTGGATAAAAAGATGAACGTAATACAAAAAGATCTATGAGATATGATTTCCAGAGAAAGATATATTTCACCTTTCAACTTTTCTTCCCAGAAAAAAATGCTGGAGAAGGAAAACAAAATAAGAGTTTCTTCTACCAATAAAATAAACCTCAAAAGTCTGGGTCTTGAAAACACAAATAAGAATTTTTCTCCAGCTCTGTTACAGCCTACTATACCCTACCTAAAATCCTTCAGCAGCTTTTCAGGGCTTTGTAAAGCCTCTACTCCTCAACCAGTTGTGATTTGTGAGTATTATCTTATCCATTATCTTAATTTAAATATCTAGACTGCCTTGTTTTGATTAACCTGTATCTAGTAATATTTCAGCTGTTTGCATCTCAGATTTTCTGTTTTCCACTGTTGCAATACTTTCCTGAAGCTTCCAAAATAAAAAATGTGTTGTCAGTAGATCAGAAAGTTAGTGTTACACAACAGAGAGTAAAAAGGCATAGAAGGAAACGATCTTGGCTCATAAGCTAAGCCCATCACCCCCTAGTTCCGGACCATTGGGCAAGCAACTTAATTCTTCTGTATGTCAATTTCCTAATCTGCAAAGCATAGATAGCAGCATCCACTTTACAAATTGGTTATGAGGATGATGTAGATGTTTGTAAAGGACTCAACAGGCTGCTCATAGTCACCAGGCCTTTGATAAAGCAGCTTTTTCAAAACATATATATCAGTATTGTCCTACTGACACATGACCCATCATCATTCTAACTTGTTTAGTTCACCAAACATATGCCAATAGACATGAGAAGTAACATGGCATTTCTTTCTTCTGCTCCCAGCCTGCTTCCAACTATTTAAGCCATTTTCTTCAAAATATTTGGCAAATCAGAACATTGACCTAAGACTCACAATATTAACTGTAATTTTACCTTCTCAAATCTAGTTGAGTGATACAATTCGAGTCAGACTAGACCCTACCAATCATCTAGTCTAATTATACCTCTTGATTATTTGCAGGCTTATATATTTTGACAGTTATTTGTATAGTGAATATGAATACTACTACACCACAAAACAGTAAACAAATGAGTAAATGTCACATTTCCTTATTTTTAAAATCAAATTAAATCACTCTGATATCCTATTCCACTAAGTTGATGGAAAATCCAATCTGAGTCATTACTGGGTTTGTCTGTTAGGGTTATGAAATCATTTTAAGTGGTGGGTTCTAAACCTAAGCAGAATGTTTTGGAAAGGCCATCTGGCATTCATTCTACACTACGTATCATCGAATTATTCATTGCCAAAGTTACTGGTCCCTTTAATTTAGACAATTCTGCTACTTCCATGTAATGCATTGACACAAGGTCTTTACCTTAGCTGGAACACAGGGTCCAGCGTCCCTAAAGATACCTTGCAACCATTCCTTCTGAGGTCCTGCTCCTCTCCCAGAATGCTGTCAGCCAGTGGGGTAAGGATCCCCATTATTCAAAGATATCCACATATTCATATCCCTTCTCCAACAGAATCCCTTGAAGGGGCTCAGGTTTTTAAAAACAATTCAGGAAAGGCGTTTTCTTTGGTTTCTTCTGCTTTCCAGCTGCTAGCACAAACCACCTCTAAGACTAGGGAGTGCAAGGTTCAGATTACTTTATTTTTTAGAAATTGAGAGGCAAGAAAAGGCAGAAAACTCAAATCAAAAGGGTACTTTTTCTGTATTTTTAAATATAGCAATAAAATAGAAAATCATATCCCAAAATAAGCTATCTCATCACATTCTAATAAATAAGTCACAGTTCTTGGCCCTAGGGAGTTTACAATCTGATAGTGAAAGAGAGAACACTGCTAGCTATAATACAAGGCATGTGGCAGGTGTCATAAGTGAATCGGAGCTTCAGAGTGCTGTGAGAGTTCAGAGGAAGGAGATGAATTTTGCAGCTGATTTTAGTAAGCAGAGACAGAGGAATCAGTAAGTTTGGAGGGAATTTCATAAGCAAAGGTGAGAAGGTGAAAGAACATATTCCCAGAACAGGGAACACAATCTAGCCTGATTTTATTTTATTTTTCTGTTAGCAATGTCAGGAAGAATTGGAGCTGTGGAGCCCAAATAAGCAGGTGTGGCATTAACTAGTAGGTGAGATTAGCCCATGTCTCACGTAGAAGCATGAGGGACAAGCGGGGAACAATGGTTCCTGGATTTTGAACTGAATCTTTTGAGAATGGGGGTACCATACATAGGAAAAGTCTAGAAGCAGAGCTGGTTGTGGGTGGGAGGATGAGGGAGAAAACGACAGAAATGTAAAATAGATTTCAGCTTAGGGAGAGTTTGAGCTGGAGCTGCCCTTTAACTGACTAAAAAAGAAGGGCTGCAGTTTGAAAGGTTAGGGACTGGGCCATGGATTTTTTATGAATTTTTTTAAAAGAAGGTAGGTAGGCTGTGAGGTTCCTTCGTTTATTATTTTTTTTAAGACAAAGTCTCGCTCTGTCGCCAGGCTGGAGTACAGTGGCGCGATCTCAGCTCACTGCAACCTCCGATGACTCCCTGGTTCAAGTGATTCTCCTGCCTCAGCCTTCCGAGTAGCTGGGATTACAGGCACACGCCGCCAACATGCCCGGCTAATTGTTATATTTTTAGTAGAGATGGGGTTTCACCATGTTGGCCAGGATGGTCTCGATCTCCTGACCTCATGATCCGCCCCCCTCGGCCTCCCAAGTGCTGGGATTACAGGTGTGAGCCACTGCGCCCAGCCTGCTGTGAGGTTCTTGAGGGGAGGGGCTGAGTCATATTATTTGAAAAAAAATAACACTTGAAGCCAGGAATGACAATAAGGAAAGGGAGGGAGGAAGGAAAGAAGAAAGAAGCAAAAAAAGGAAAGGTAACAGAGGACAAGGAGGAGAGTGAAATACCACAGATGGGAAAGGAGAAGCATTCAGTGAGGGGAAAACCAGGGAGTGGTCAATGACATTCTTTAGGTAATGTGGAGAGATGTCAGTAAGGAAATGTGCTGAGAAAAACCCACAAAGAATGTCATTTAGTACACCCCTGAAGACCTTGCATGGGGCAGAGTGGACGGGGCAGATGTCCCACTGGGAGGGCTTAAGTAGTGACAGGTAATTAAATGAGCTGGTAGGGCTCAGTCAGGTGGATGACGACCAAGAAGCTGTGCTGGCTCCTCTTGGTACTGTCACATACATACCAAGTTCCTCAATAAGGTGGCAGTTTTCAGGTTCTACTGGCTCCACTTCTCGAGAGGCATTCACCCTTTCTCTGTAGAAGATAAAACCCAACCCTGGAAGTCAAGGCACAGCATTCAAAATGTATGTTTAAATGTGGACTTCAATCATCTTCGTGTTGGTTAACTATCTTTATCATAATTTATGAATGACATAACAAGTAAGTAGGTACTTCCTTTCATGTTTATTTACATAATGTAGACATTATGTGGGTATTTTACCTATATCAGCTAACCTTACCCAGTTATTGCTGAAAAACTGTATAATATGATTCAACATGGAAAATTCTGCTGCCCAAATAAAAGACACTATTTAATAGTATGAGTAATTGAACAATATTATTAATTTAAATGCACGAAATAGCCCTAATTTTCTAAAGTATCGTCTGTTATAAATCTGCACTTAATCCCCTACAGTCTTGCCCTTTGAACTTTTCCTTCCAAACTGCTTTCCCAAAATTCAACAGGGTCTCCTAATAGTCAAACTCTATCACTTTTGCTTTAATTTTTAAATTTTATGCTGACTTACTCCGCAAGTATGTAAATTCATTAAACCAACCACAATTTAAACAATTGGCCGATTTATTTTTCAACACAATTTTCTTGTTTCCAGAGTGAAAAGGAATGTTTCCACATTCTTCTAATATCAGGGATAATTTAAAATTTTTATTAAAGTATATTCAGAAAGACTCAATACTTATCTTACAGTCATTTATTTAAAAAAATACCCTTAGATCTACTTTATTATTATTACTATTATTTTATGATTCTCCATGTGGTTGCACTGGGAGCAAATGTAACAATAAAACTCTCAAACTGGAAGTATTACTAATAGGCACCAGGCACCTCAACAGATTCTAGACGTGATCCTCTAAGAAGACCAGCTTCAACTAAGAGAAATACATAAACACTCAAAGACAACTGAAAGCAAGCAGAGGCTTTCGATCCACTCATGAATGTGTATTATCACTTAAAGGTTCTTCTTTCTAGCCCAGTATTGACTTTTCCTGAGACATTTCTAGGCTGGCTATCACCATTGTATCTTCCACTTCAAAAGGTCAAATGCCTACAAAATGCCAGTTACCGCCTGCAGGTTTCAGCTGGTTTGCCCTGCTGTCTGGCCAGCTCTTTAAATCTAGGATAGGTTCCATAACCCAGTACTTCTGCATGGTTAGCCAGACCTGGGCAATGTCTCAGTCAGCCGTAAACATCCAACTGGTAGCCTGATCCTCTCTCCCAAGTCCGGCGTTTCCAATGGACGTCCTTTTTTCCCAAGCAGAATGTTGAGGGCGAGCTGGGAAAGGGGTCATCACGTTCAGAAAGTAAAAGGGGGTCATGACCTTCAGAAAGCAAAGTGGGGGATCATAACCTTCAAAAAATAAATGGGACTAATTCGGCTCGGCAGTCTTTGGAAACGCAAGTAGCTCACTTTCCCCATAAGCGAGTCTCAAGGGGCGGTTTGCTGGGTGAGATGGAGGAGTGAGGTTCCAAAGCTGCTCTTTCCTACCCGCTAGGAAGGGGGCGCCAGGCAGCCCCTGACCTCACTTGGAAGAGGAGAGAAAGAGAGTCGAAGACGCCCTGTCAAGATGCCACTCACCTAAACGCCAGGAACATCTCCCCGACTAAGGACAGGCCGACCCCCAGCAGGACCAGCGCCACGAGCTTCCCCATGGTCTCGGGGTGCCCAGCGGCGACTGCGCGGCGCCGAGAGCTCTCGGGGGCGCGGCGGGCGGTTCCTGCCTCGCGTACGGATTGGGGCCCGCTCGGCCCCGCCCGCACACGCCTCCTACTTACCTGAGCGGCCCGGGTGCCGCAGCAGGGCGCTGACGAGTCCCGCCGAGCCCCGCCGCCCGGGTTCAAGGCCGCCTTCACGCCCACGATTCCTTGTTTTTTGGGCAGAGGTCAAGGCTCAACGGAGAGGGAGCCCGGGACCGAGTTGTGGTGGGAGTTTGCTCCTAACACCCGCGAAATCCTACCTCAATTCCTCAGATGGCCTGAGGGAGAAACCGGAGGGCCCGGGAATGGCGGGGAGCTCCAGTTCAGAGCCGGAACTCCGGACTTCTGCAAGGCCAGACGTGAGGCGACACTGAATTGCTCCCGAGACGCGGGAAGGGCGAAGGCAATCGAAGCGAAGAGCTTTAACTCATCTTCTCCAGGATTTGGGGCACGGGAACCTGTCTCCTGACCTTCGTGCCTTACCTCGGAGTGTGCTGCCCAGACGGACTTGTGAATAGCTGCGTCTGTCCCCATAGTTAACGGGAGAAGGAAACACCAGGAGAAAAGAAGGAAAAGACAGGAAACGGGAAGAGGAGCAGAGGCGAGGAAGGGGAAGGTCATTTCCTTGGCAGGGTAGGCCCTCTTTCTTCTAGGTCTTGAGTTCCTGCCAGGCAAGAAATGCTCTTTCCCCTCTCCTGATGAACACCAGGTTGGAGGGGGAGGAACTGAAGATGCGGGAAGACTTGGGGAGTTCGGGCAAAGTAGCACATTCAAGCATGATCTATTTTTATTTACGGACAGAAAGAAATATTAGTTCTGTTAGGTTCCACCGAGTAAACTATTTGTTGAGAGAGCAAGATTTGCCAATCCTGGGGGTATTAAGGAAAGAAAAGGTGGTCCCTGACCTATGGGATACATGATTCTAGTATGAATACGTAATTACAGGATGAATAATGAAGCCCACCGCTTATGCAGTACTGACTGTGTGCTTTGCCTGTGCTGACACCTATGTTAACGCATTTAATTATCAACACAATCTCTGGAGTGTGGGTAGCCTTACCCCAATTTTACAGGTGAGACCTGCAGCACAGATTGCTTATGTGGCTTGCTGTAGGTCAGGCAGCTGTCAAGCAGCAGACTCCAAAATCTGGGCCCTTAACTGAGCTGCCTCTACCATGCTGCCTCTAGAAAATCTATGGAAGAAGGGTTGTATTAAAAGGACAGTGTAACGTCTTGAATTGTATAGATTAGAGTTCTTGTTAAGATGACTAATGTTAAAAGAGTGCAAGCAGAGGAGGAATCGAAGTCAGGAGGGCTCACAGAGCTGAGGGGCCTGGGGTGTGATGTAGACATGCATGCAGGGTTTGGGAGTCAGGCTGCCTGGGTTTGGATCCAGCCTAGATAAAGTACTCAGCTTTATTGAGCTACAGATTCCTCTTCTGTAAAAGAACGTCCACCTCATAGGTAGCTTAAAATTAAATGTGATAATGAGTGTCAAGTGCTCTGCACTGTGCTTGATACGTTTTATGAAGTCAGTAAAGATTAACCACTAATTAATTCTGAACTTTGCTTGAGATTGTAGGCTCCTGTGGGAAGGACTCCATCGCATTGATCACTGGGTTTTCCCGTGCCATCCATAGAACTTTGTGCTTAATAATGACTCAATAAATATGATTAGATGGATGGATGTAAAATATGGACTTGGGAGAAAGAAAAATTAGAAGAATAAAAAATAAATGGAATGAATAATGAAATAATAATAGTCATATTATTATTTCACTCAGCGTTTGCATGCCTTGTCACATTACTTCTTATTAACCTTACCTACAAAGAAGTAAAGTGAATTGCTTGCTGCAAGTTTGATGGGACTAAAAAGAAGGAAAGTGAGGCTTTGAGGCTTAGAGAGGTAAAGTAATAATTCACTTAAGGTTACATAACTAAGTGTCAGTGCCTCCATCTGGACTCAGATCAGGTGACTCTAGAGCTCATGTTCCTTATCACTGTGTTTGCAGCATAGCATGAAGAAGGGGGTAAAGAAAGAAGCGTATTCTTGGGCAATTGATTGAAGTTCTGTGTTAGCTATAATTTGTTTAAAAATTCTTCACTTTAGGCAGAGGAGTCTCTGTGTGTGTGTGTGCATGTGTGTGTGTGTGTGTGTGTGTGTGTGTATACATTAACTTTAAACCCTAGAAGTGGTTAGTTTTTATTCGAATACCATAATCAGTAATTCAAATCCCCAGCATGGTAAATTAGCATTAAAGAATTCCAAACTTTGGAGGCCACTGTATCGAGTGTCACCATCTAAATCTGCTCTTGGCAATAGGCCAAATTGACTTGGTCAAGAGGCCACAGGTACATCAGTATTGTAAAAGGGGTTTGTTGACTTTGAAAGAGCAGGACAGATAAATTCAAAAGGCCTAAATTCAAGATCCAATTCCATTTGTAGTTGGCCCTTTAATCTTTTGAAATCACTTATCACCACCTCTGGACCCTTCTTTCCTTATATGTATAGTGGGGCTTTCAAAGAGCTAATGTAGACCAAATTCAATGCTATACGTTTAAACAGTAAGTAACACAATACTATATATAGATCTAGGGAGTCCCACACCATTGATAATCAAAATGCCATTAAGGGGGATGCAGAATATACATGTGGTATAATTCTAAGGTATAAAATTAGGGGAATTACATATTATCCACATATGTGTGTGTGTGTGTGTGTGTGTGTGTATATATATATATATATATAAACAATCTAGACATAAACTGAAGAGTAGTTACTTTGAGAGCAGAAGATTGGGGTCGTGGAGAGTGGGGAGGTCAGTGAGTATGGAAGGAGACTTTGCTTTTACTGTACGACCCTCTGTAATGTTTAAAATTTTCAAACTTTATATCTTGATCATGTTTACAATCGCTACATTTTTAATTTAAAAAGATTGTTTCTATCAGTGAATCTTGCCAAGAAAAAGAGGTGGCGATAGAGAAAAAGAGCAACAAATCAAAAGAGATTATGATTATATTGCAATAAAGCTGTTTTTTAAAAAGAGGATATGGATTTTAGAACATTAGGAAACATTGTCCTAAGCCATAGAAACCACTGTTTAAAACCTGGGTACGACTACATGGCATTAATGAGTCTAGTGCTGCTCAGAAGAGAGAAATGCTAGAGGACCAGATATTTGTATTATTTTAAGAAATGACTTCTATTATTTAGAAAATTTATTATTTTAAATTTATACTTATTTAAGTATTAAATATTTAGGTATATCTGAATTTAAATAAAATTCTCAATTTCATTCTGAAGATGCACTTAATAATGAAGTCAGGTAGTGAAAGTCTGATACCTTGTTTGGTGACTTCCTGCAACTCACCATGGGGAAGGTTCCCCCACTCAGGACTTCAGGTGCAACCTGTGGTGTGCTAGGAATCATCTGCGCTGAGTGTATTTAGCAGGATGAGCACCAGGGTTCCAGCAGGCTCACATTTCACTATGTAAGCACCAAGTGAATGGGGGGATCCTTGAGGGGCCACACTTTGCCAGGAAGGTTCTTTCCAGATTTATCTTCCACTTTAACTGTCTTCAGGGGATTTTTCATCAATATCTGGTAGCCCCTCAGCGACTCTAGTTTGGAACACATCTCAAGGTAGATTCAACATATTACATGAACTTGTCAGATTGTATGACAAGGAGAAGGAGTTAATTAAGTGGAGAAAGGGTGGTGAGGTTCACAGAAAGAGGTCGGGGTATCCGCAAGTAGGGGAATTGGAACAGAAATAGTCCAGTATGGATACAGCAGTGGTTCTCAAACTTCAGCAGGCCTAAGAATCACCTGGAGGGCTCCTTAAAAGAGAGATTGCTGAGTCCTAGACCCAGAGTTTGAGATTTGTTAGATTTGGGGTGGGGCTTGAGAATTTGCATCTCTAACAAGTTTGCAGGTGATGCTGATGCTGCTGGCCCAGGGACCATGCTTTGAGAATCACTGAGCTTAAAGATTTGGGAAGAAGATGGTGAGAATTGAATCTGGAGAGGAAGGCAGATTGTAGGCCAAGTTAAGAAACCTGAATTATATTCTAAGGGGCATTGGGAAGCCACTGGAAGTAACATGTTTTGGCAGGTGTTTTAGAAACATTGCTACACAATGATGAGAGTGGATTATGGAGCAGGTGGAGCACTTACCCTTCCTGGAGGCTAGGAGATAGTTAGATGCCTTTCTGGGTGAGATATGTGAGGGTGATTGGAGAAGGTGAGGAGATTGTTTCTCAAAGTTCTTAGAATTGTATGGATTTGAGAAATGTTTAGGTGGAGGGACTGGCAATTGTTTGGATATGAGCAAAGGGGTGGTGAGGGAGAGGGAGAAATGAAAGGTGTCTAGGCTTGGAGAATCTGCTAAAGAGGGCTGTATTTATGGATATGGGGACCAAGAAACAGAAGCAATATGAATAGAAAAACAGGGAATTCATTTTTAAACAATTTTTAGAGAAATGGTCTCACTCTGCTGGCCAGGCTTGAGTGCAGTGGTGTGATCATGGCTCACTGCAGCCTCTACTTCCCAGGCTCATGTGATCCTCCCACCTCAGCCTCTCATGTACCTGGGACTACAGCAGGTGCCACCATATATCTTATATATAAAGCTGTAGTAATTTTTTTTAAAGTTTTTTTTTTTTTAACATAGAGATGGGGGTCTTGCTATGTAGCCCGGACTGGTCATGAACTCCTGGGCTGAAGTGATCCTCCTGCCTCAGCCTCCCAAAATGCTGGGATTACAAGTGTCAGCCACTGTTCCCAGCCTCAGAGAGTCCATTTAAAGCTGTGGTTTCCATTTTATATTGTAGGAGAAATCTGGAGAGTTTTCTTCAAAGTGGAGTGACAAAAGTCATGTTTATCCTAATCATCATTTTCAGGCCTTGAATCAATTCATGTAATAAATGTATTTTTTATATTAGCCCTTTCTTAAGAAAGGTCTGAGTAATGTCTTCTGCACTCAATACTGCCTATGATGGGACAACCAGGTTCCATTTTAAAAGTTTGAAAATATCTGTACTGCTTTCTCTTCTAATGGAAAACATCATTTCCTGATGTTTTCAATCCCTGTCAAGAATTGCATAATGGATGATTTAGTTATGAACTGGAAAAATAATTCCCTCCTTTACACATGAAGAACTAGAAATTCATAGAAAAAGGCCAGCATCCTTGAAGGAAAAAAAAAGTTCACAGAAAAATAAATACAGATCTCCTTAAATATCTCAAAGTGTACTTAAACTCATAAAAAGAGAATGAAAATTAAAACACAGTAGAAGAAAAGTGCTGAAAAGCAGGGGCAGAAAGCTAAAAGAGAATGCTACTGGGATTCTCCCACCCAGCTCCTTCTCTCACACCCAGAAATCCTTCCCTGGAAAACAGTGTGAGTAATGAAAACTACAAGTAGCCACAGAAAGGTAGAAGTGGCTGGTGTGGCGGTGGGTTACTTTTAAGCTGTTACTTTTTCATTGCTTTGCTGAGTAGAGTAGATATTCACTAGCCTAGGTTGGCTGTGACTCCAAGATAGGACTCAAACTGAGCAAATCAAAGTCCAGAGAAAAGAATCAGCTTTATATGAGTTGCAATTAAGGATTAATCCATATGCAACATGAAAAAAATACTGTATTATAGCTTATATTTAATCTTTCTTACTCCTTGTATTAAGTATTCATGTTCACATTTGTTATAAAAGAGCTGAGGTTTTGTAAAAGTAAAAAAACAATTATTGTCACTAAACGGAATCTTGGAGTAAAAAGAATTAACACATACACACCTGTAAGACCTATATTCACCTCATGGTGTCATATCCCAATTACAGTTTCAGTTGTTTTCAATTGTTCAGCTCAGTATAAGATCAGAGAGAAGACACCATAAATAAGTGCACAATATACTGAGTTTGATAGAATTCCTCATGGTCCAGAGAAGCCAAAAATCAGAGATTATTCATTTTTTTTATTTCTAAGATAAATAATATATGTGCTTTTTTTTTTTTTTTTTTTTTTTTTGCTGTTGTTGTTGTTGTTGTTTGAGACAGAGTTTTGCTCTTGTTGCCCATGCTGGAGTGCAGTGGTGTTACCTTGGCTCACCGCAACCTACCTCTGCCTTCCGGGTTCAAAGGATTCTCCTACCTCAGCCTCCCGAGTAGCTGGGATTACAGGCATGCACCACCACGCCCGGCTAATTTTTGTATTTTTAGTAGAGACGGGGTTTCTCCATGTTGGTCAAGCTGGTCTCAAACTCCCGACCTCAGGTGATCCGCCCACCTCAACCTCCCAAAGTGCTGGGATTACAGGAGTGAGCCACCGTGGCTGGCCATACATGTGCTTATTAACTTACATATACTTTTGTCCAAATAAATTTTTTTAAAATACTTGCATGCTTTATTCAAAATACACTGTGAGTACATGTCTATGCTAATATTCTGTAGTATCATTTGAAGTGGCTATATTATCTTATAGAGGTGCCCTGATTTTGTTTTTAAAAATAAATATCCTCTGCAGAACACACTGTCAAGAGAATGAGAAGACAAGCAACAGACTGGGAGAAAATATTTGCAAGAGACATACCTAACAAAAGATTGTTATTCCAAATATTCAAAGCACTCTTAAAACTTAATAAGAAAACAAAACAACAACAAAAGGAAGATTTTTAAAATGGGCCAATGGTATAAACAGGCACCTTATCAGAGAAGACATACAGATAGCAAACAAGCATAATGTTCAACATTTTATGTCATCAGGTAATTGGAAATCAAAATGAGATACCACTTCATAATAGTATAATCCAAAATACTGACACCACCAAATGCTGGCCAGGATGTGGAGTAATAGGAGCTCTCATTCACTGCTTGGTGCAAATGCAAAGCAGTATAGCCACTTGGAATAATTTGGCAGTTTCCTTCAAAATTAAACATACTTCTACCATATGATCCAGCAAATTGTACTCCCCAGTGTTTTTTGAGGGGGTAGTGAAAGAGTACAGGTGTAGAGTTGTTACCTGGGTATACTGCATGATGCTGAGGTTTGGGATATGGATGGTCCTGTCACCCAAGTGATGAGCATAGTACCCAACAGTTAGTTTTTCAGCCCATAGCCTCATTCTCCCTTCTGTCTAGTGGTCCCCAGTGTCTGTTGTTCCCATTTTTGTCTATGTGTATTCAATGTTTAGCTCCCACTTATAAGTGAGGACATGCAATATTTGGTTTTCTGTTCCTGCATTAATTTGCTTAGGATGACCTCTAGCTGCATCCATGTTGCTGCAAAGGACATGGTTTTGTTCTAAAATTTGTAATAAATGCAATAGAAACCAAGTTTGTTTTATGCCTACTGTATTCCAGTACTTTTTATAAATGTAGCTTTTTAGATAGTCTGATATAATCTCATAAAATCTAAAACATCTAGTTCTTCATTTGGATCCCTAGGTCTGCAATATTTAATCTTGCTGTATTCATCTGTGACTTAGCATTTTCCCATGGACAATGTAAACAAAAAAGAAAATAATTATTTTAGCATGAAATAAATCCAATACAATATGTAGCAAACTACTTAAATATATAAATAACAACACAGGCCAAATGGATACAGGCCAAATTTAAGAATACTACTGAAATTTAAATTTAAAATCCATTAAATGATTCATCTAAAAGCAGAACTCAAACATATCTACAAAACATGAAGAAACTGTATACATCAGGAAAAACAGTAATAAAATACTAGTTCGTTCTATGGCAGTAGCATCATGTAGTGGTTAGCGGTACAGGCTCTGGCATCAGAAATAGACTGAATATCTGTGAAATGTTAACAGTGATATAATATCAATACTTACTCCAGGCTGCAATTAGGATTAAATAAGATAACGAATGTAATACTTTCATTGCATTGTTTGGCATATTGTAATTAACTGACAAATATTTTCATGATGATGATAGGGAAAAAGTATGAGAAGTGAAGTAAAGTGGTTTGATAAATTACAATGGAAAGAAACACATGAAAGTCTCTCTCTAGGGCTTATGATGATTTTATAGGAGGTACAGTGAGCAGAAAAACTCTCCCTCTGTGAGCTGGGCACGCGGCCCTGATCCTAGCATTGCTGCTGCTTAACCATGTGGTCACGGACGACTGACTTCATTCTCCTGGCTTTAGTTCACAGTTCTGTTCAATGAGGAGGTGGCAAGACCTTCCTGTCCCAACCCTTATTTCCTCTTTGTCTCTAAAGTGGACTCCCATTAAGGAAGAGAGCTGATGGAAACCTCCTTAGGAACTGGGAATTTGAGTTGCAATATTTCATTGATTTTTGTTGTTGTTGTTTCAAATTAAGAGTCCATTCACTTTCAGCTTTCCACAAGAGAAATTAATATGGCCATGCTTGCCTATCCAAACTCCATAAGGAAGCAGCTGCTTTCCCATTTCTCCTAGCCATATGCCTTCAGAATTAAACACAGACAAAACTGGGATTTTAGTTAGTCTTTAATATAACTCCAACTTTTTAATGGTAAACAAAGATGTAAGTACAAAACATCAAAATACGTTATCAGTAGTTCTAAACAGCCATAGTAGTCACAGTGCCAGAAGTGAGGTCACTCACATTTTAAGGAAATATAATTCACTCTATTTCAGTGGAATCCATGTTCTGGCAGTTGGAAGGCAAAGGTGAGGCTTACTTTGTGCAAAATGTATTCACTTTATTCGAAAGCAGCTTTCTTTTCTGTCCCTTGCTTGGCATTTTAAAGAACCTGTTCATTTTCCTTTTTTGTTAAAAGTGCTCTAAGAACTAAAAGGGCCGTTCCTTACTGGAATAAAATTAACTACACATGCCATACATTTCTGGGTCAATGTTGCTGGTTAAATTCCCTCAGAATTAGCAATTCATAGAAAATTAATTGTTAAGTTATCGCACTTTCATGCCAAAAGTACAATTTAGAGTTCACAATACAAGGCTCTGTGGTATAAAGTGCCTATGAGCAGCTTCCCATCATACACTGAGGCTACAGAACTTCCTTGGAGAACAGACCCATTGTTGGCATAAACTGTAGTCACTGTAGGCTTCTCAGATAGAATGTTCTGGATGCGGAGAACCTATTCAGGGGATACAAAGTATGAATATAAGACCACCGTACATGCATGTCACTCAATCATCAATAAGCCCTGTTTTCCACAATGACACACTGATTAAGGGGACATGCTGTTGAAAATAGCAGTTACCAATCTTTTTAATGTTTAAATTAAAGTACTTTCTCCAATCTTCAAAGAAAGTACTTTCTTAAAACCATCTAGTTATTCCATGCCAACACAGGATTTAGTGTTATTATAGCAATTCAGCTTTAATAGAAATACTTTCATACTAATGTGCCTACTTTCACACTACTTCAACATGAACAAATATCACATCATGTGGTGAGCTGACAATAAATCAGATATTTTAAAAATTGCCAGTATACCACCCAAGAAGGGCACATGTCTTTATAAAAATGCCTTTTGACTAGTTTCCACCATAATTTAATACATCAAAAGATTACCTTTCTTAAAGTATTTGAACAATGTAACATTCTGCCAATTATTGGCTTAACGCAATTACAAAACCACGACATAAGCTTATTATATTATTGCTTTAAAATAACTAAACAAATCATCCCTGTGACAATTTATTGTATTATTAGTTCAAAAGGACTTGAATAATTAAGTTTAAAAAACTGAAAATATAAAAACCTCTGACGAGGGAGGATTGTTCGGGTCATACACGAAGAGCTTCTGGCCATTAGGATGACAGCCTACCCAGATGTCCCCCGAGGAAGGATCAATAGATAAATTATCCACCAGTGTATCCAGCTCAAGTACCTTCCAAATGAGAAATTGTCAAAATCTAAATGACATGAGAAACTTGATTAAATAATTTAGAGGTAACCTTCCTGCCTCTATGCATGTGAGGAAATTACACATCGCCCTGCTTCCACCTTCTAACACCAATATTGCTTAAAAGGAATGTATTAAAAACTGGTTTGGAGCCACTTTTCTTCTTCCCTGAAATTAAGAAAGTTAGGGTGATAATCGGTCTCTGTAAAAATCTATCTTAAAAACTGAACTCCTTTTCCTTTAAAAGATGCACAATGATCAGTTAGCTCAAGGAACTCAATCAAAGCAAGATAGGAAATTCTTAATCAACCTAAAATATGTGTTGTTGAGTAGGAAGAAAATAATAATGGTGTGGAACCCAATTTCTACCTTCATGTATTATTGAAAGAACTGACACTGTGCATAAACCTTCATTTGAGAATTCATCTATTAGTATTTTCAATTGTGAAAATTCTTATTGGAATTCTTCCACTGCCATCAATACTTCATGGAATGGGCCCTAAATCTGATGAATATCACTCTCAACCTGCTGCTGCATGTAATCATGGTCAGTTCTTGAGATCGCTGGAAACAGGAGCTTTCTCTAGTTGTAGGGAGTATTTAAAAACCCAGAATAGCTACACTGGCATCCATATTTTGTTCTACGTGTGGTACTCTTATAGAAAAACTATGTCATTGCAAAGCATAATAGATTACTGTCTATATGTAAAAATAAATATTTTACCTTCAACTGAGTTAAATTCATATTAGTGTGTTTTTCCAAAACATGAATTTCATGAGCCAATATGTCAGCAACATAGATATACCTTTGCAGAAAGGACACAGTGGTTAGAGCTCCATGCCAATATAAAGCTTCATTAATACAGTGTGAAAGAATAAGTCTTAATAACCTGCCAAGAAGTTAATCAATCATGGGCCCTCAAGGAATGCTTGATAAAGGTCAATTTTTATTTAAAAAGTAAGCTTTCAGAATCAATTCAGTGGTGCTACAACAATCATGGAATTATTAAATTGTTTTTCAAAAAGCTTGTAAGGAAAAATAATATAGAACATCATTTTGAATATGAAGTCCATATTTGCCACTGAAATGACAATAAAACAAATGCTTGGCTTCAGAAGAAAAGCTTTTACATTCCACAATATAATTTGATACTTCTAATTATCATGTACATATAGAAATATATGGTAAAGAACATCTTATTAAAATAGTGATCATTCCTTAATATTCAATAAAATATTTATTAATACATAGCGAATTTTAAGAGTAAGAGATAAGTATCAATGCAGAATAATCTGTCTACTTCAAAGGTGAGTGAATTAACAGACTATTTTGAGGTAATTTTACTCATTGAATTGACTTTCCATGGCACCTGCTCTGTTGAGCAATTATGTGTGAAAAGCCATGAACTCAGTGTTGCAGCAGATATAAACATGAAGAAGACACAGCCTCTCTCCTTGAAAGTTTATAGTGTGTTGGAACAAATCTCACTGGTTTGTACACATTAAACACCTAATAAGCATGAGAAATAGTTCAGGTCTAGAAATAGCTAACTTCCGAGGACACAGAAAGGCTCACCAAGGAAGGGGCATCTGCAGTGGCTGTGTAAAGAGAGATGAGATTTGAGATGAGGACGGAGGAGGCACTTCCCAGGCAGAAGCAAGCACAAGAGCAGAATCACAGGAGCAAGAAGAGGAAGGAATGTTTAAAACAATGAGTTCTTTGTCTAAAGCATAGAAAGCATGGAAATAGTAGAAAAGGGAGGTTGGAGGTGGCCTGTTAAACAAAGTCCAACCCTTTACCCTGCCTTGATTTGATAAGCAATTGGATTCCACTGAAATCTTAGAATAATAAAGTGGCAACAAATGGTCAGTTCTGTTCCACAATTCCTGAGCATTTGCTTTGTGCCTGGCACTGTACTGGCATAAGGAGTCAAAGGTGAGGAAGACAGAGTTCCCTCTTTGGGGAGCCCTTCAAGGCTAATAGAGATAGACAGACAAAATTGGCAAGAGTGAAAAAAATCCAAGTAGACAGAAAACAAATTGGAAGAAAGTCTCATATGCTAGTCAGAGAGGATGACAACCTAAATTAGGCAGGTCTCACTCAAAGGGAAAGGAGTTTGGGGGTAGAGGAAGGAGGCACAGGTAGAACCAACAGGACCTGCCTACAGGCTGGATAGGAATGGTGAAAGAGGAGTAAAAGCTGATTCTCCCTTTTCATTATTGTTATTTTTTTGTTAGCTTGGGTGATTGGAAAGTTTGACTCTCATAATGGAAATATAAGAGTGAAAAACAGATTTGGCTGCAGAGGTTGGATCAGGTCAGTTAGAGACAATTTAAATTAAATGATTCTACATTCTTTTTCTATAGTCAACAAGAAAGGAGGAGAAATTGGATTACAAAAATAAGGGCATTTAGTTGTCAAGGAGTGCCAAATTTATTTTATGTTGTATTTGTAGTAGTTTAAATTTTTCAGTGTGCTGAGGCAGTAGATAAGAAAGCTATCAAGAATTTAATATCTTCTCTTATAGGTTGTGGTTGTGCATATAAAAATAATGAGATAATTCTGGAGGACAATTTGGCAATATCTATTAAAGTTAACATTTAAAAGAATCACACTGTTTGAGCAAATAGTTCTATTTCTAGGGGTCTGTTCTACAGAAAAGTAGCTCATAGAACCATTTAGCCAGTGCCCTGGGTGGGATTTGAACCCAGGCCTGTATGAGTCCAAAATCTGCAAGTTTAACCATTATGTTATAATACTCTCTTAGAGCCAGGTGTGGTGGCATATGCCTGTAATCCCAGCACTTCGGGAGGCTGAGGTGGGCGGATCACCTGAGGTTGGAGGTTCAAGACTAGCCTGACCAACATGGAGAAACCTCATCTCTACTAAAAATACAAAATTAGCCAAGCATGGTGGCGCATGCCTATAATCCCAGCTACTTGGGAGGCTGAGGCAGGAGAATCACTTGAACCCAGGAGGCGGAGGTTGAGGTGAGCTGAGATCATGCCATTGCACTCCAGCCTGGGCGACGGAGTGAGACTCCATCTCCAAAAAACAAAACAAAAAAAAAACACTCTCCTAGGGACTTTTTCTTTAAAAAAAATACTTGTTTAAAATTCCATGGTAAATAAGAAGTATAAAATATTTTTTATGTAGAACTCCCCACCCCTATACACATATCCATCAATAGAGAATTGGTTAAATTAGTTTAAGATCATCCTTATAATGGAATAATGTATAGCCAATAAAAATAATACATTTATTTAAAAGGAAATACCTGATACTTCAATATGTATGCATCAGTATGATCACACTTTAAAATTTATATTTATAAAATTAAATTTGACAATGATGTATTCCAAACTTTATATATTATATATAAATACATATATATTACTGTATTATATAGTTTACTTAAATATGGTATTGTATTTGCATATAAATACATGTGACTAAGTATATGTAAATATATATACAAAACATATATAATTATATATATAGTGTATCTATATATTATATGTATAATATACCATAAATGTCAAGAAAACTATTTTCACATTGACAAAGAAAGCAAAGTAAAGAATTTGGCCAGCACCACAACTGAAGAAAAATGAAGATATTCTATAAGGGGCCATACTTATCATCAGGTGAAATATTGATCCCATTTGCTGAATCAAATCCTTCTGCTACCACTTTAACTTCATTTGGACTGTAGTAAACAACATTTGCCCAGTGTAAGTTCAAGTATGTTTCTAAATACTTTAAGAAAGGATCAGAGAAGTAGTGGTCATTTGTGGCATAGAAATGTGCCGGTCCAACAGCTGTGATGTCATTCACACTGAAAAAGAAAAATAGCATGTGAGAGGAAACAAAAGGCCTGTTGGTCTCCATATTAAATATTAAGTACTCATAAGATTTATGCAACATGTGCTTTAAATTTTTGGTAAGAGGAAAAGACGAGCTAAAAATCACGACTATAGTCATATACAATATACTATAATATTGTTGCCAGAGAACAATTTTGTATGGTACCAGGTAATCTGAACACAGGTCATTTAGCAATTATGGCAGGATTACCATAAGAGAAGAAAGAACTTAGTGCCATCAGGGCATGTTTTTTGACAGCAAGAAATGTAGGGTTTAACAATTATACGTAAGGACAGAGCTGTCCACAGTACAGAGCTGGAGAGAGCCTGATTGGCTGGTGAGCTGGTTAGGCAGTCAGTAACATTTACCTAGCTTCCATTTACTCAGTTCCTGGATTTTTCTAATTTCCCTGGCTTAGTTATTAGTCAAACTAAGGTTGACTGTTCAATTTCTACCTGCTTCACAAAGCTGACATGCCGAGAATGAACAGGCACTCAATAAACACTTGCAGAGAGATGGATGATAAAATTGCCATAGTACAATGCTTCAGGTGAGAGATTTATATGCTAAAAACAATTTCATTTTAAGACCAGTTAGGTGAGGGTGTTATTAAATTTAAATTCCAATTACTCTATGCAAAAATTTCTGAAAGAGCTGCTTTATTCTTTGCTAAATGAAAAATATAGAGCTACAGGGAAGGTAGGTCTCATTTTTCTGAAAGAGCACCATAATGCTTGGATGGTATTTATGCTCCTATTTTTTTTTATCAAGTGCATTTTTGGAAGGAATGATTGGAAGTTACATGCTTATGCCCTAGATAGGCATAGATAGGCCCTAGATAGGCAATATTTTTAATTTCATTAGAAATGAAATTTCATTAGAAATTAAAAATATTCATCAAGTTTAAACTAAAAGAAGCAGTAGGCTAATACACACTGAACTGGGGGTGGGGGTACACATGATTCTCTCTTAGCCACATTTTCAACCAGCTTTATGTTCTTGAAGTGTAATGACTCACTCTCAACTTGAGTGGCTCTAATTCTGTGGGATTACTAGCATGCAACCATCACTAACCCTATGAAAGCGATTGGTATAAAGTCCCATGCAAAGCATACAAACCCAATAAAAAACAGGCCATTCTTCCTTGGCAAGACACTCATCTGGGTGATGAGTCATCTAAGATGGAGGGTGACAGCAGGAAAAAATGTTAGGGTTTGCCTTCTACCCTCAAGATGGGCCTGAAGAGTATCACCCTGTAGTCGGGCACTTCATCATTTCTCAAAGGAGTCCGCATAGAACAGTGAATAGTATGAGTGACATCAACTTTCATATGCCATGCTTGCCCTGGTTTATAAGGAAACTATACACACACATTTATAAATAAGGAAATATAAGCTCTTTAGCTCTTACATATTAGCTAATATATACATTAGCGCTTATAAAAGATGACAGGACAACCCACCATAGGGATTGTTTGCAAATGCTGGGGATAAATTAGAGAAGGAACAAAATGAGGAAGTACCTTGGAAGAAGCTCATGTTTGACTGTTTTCAGATGCAACAGAGAATTTTCTGCTTCTTCAAATTTAAAAATTTCCACTGTATTCTTGAATTCTGGGTGGTTTACAACAAAGAGATAAACTGTGTCATCTAAAGAATTGAAAGAACAGAGTTAATTTACAAGACATAACTACGGGACCTCTGGGCAGGCACTGACATTTAAATACCACAGGCAAGGAAAGGTTGAATGTATAAGCTGTTAGACGACCTAACAGATCATTCTCTGTCTTTCCTATTGCTGTCCGTCTGGTGTTATTTCTGATCATTGGCTCCCTGACCTTTAAGAAAGTGTTTCCTACTCCATATACAGAATTCATGCATAATCTGTTTCTACTTTAATTCAAAAATACAGTTCTTTTTTAAATGTGATGATCGTAGGTATATGAAAAGATTATGAAATCTAAACATTCTTTCAGGTGTTACCTGTTAGGAATTTCAAAATGTAGCATAACTTACTGCCAGCTGAAGAGGCAAATGAACAAGTTCTTTGTAATGAAGAATACAGAAATCACTCATGAGTTAATTGTTCTTCTCTTCCTAGAAATATGATCCAAATCTATTTTTCACAGTCATTTGTGAACCATCACACGTTACTAAATGTTGGTAGCCCATTGGCTCTTACCGTTGTCTATGAAAGTGCTGATGCCATGTGGATTGAATGAGGCCAAATCAAACCCACGACTGATTCTTAATTCCCGTGCCCTTGGTTTTTCTTCTTTTAGATCCATCATTAGTATTCCTCCAGGCTTATCTGGTGCAAAGCTGTGGAGTCCTGGGAATTTTAGACCCTTTCCAAAACGGTGAAAAATGTTAAATACAAAAGCTTAAGTATTTTTATGGACTAACATGGGAACTGTACATGAAGGATAAATAGAGATTGTGGTTAAAGTAGTGGCATAAAGCCACAAAAACTCAAAAAACAGAGAAAAGATAACAGAAAAAATAATAACGGGGAGGTGGAATACTGAAAGCCTGAAAATAACTGAAAAGAAGATCAGGGATTTATTCTCTTCAGAGAGTAATCAGAAGGTTGGTGGACTAGGTGATTCCAGGGAGAGCTGAGGGTGGAGAAAAGTGACATCTACATACTGACTGTGGAAATTTGTTCACTGCTAGATCCCAGTGCCTGGAACAGTGCCTGGCATACAGTCCATCCTTCTCCCACTGATTCAAAATATCACCTTTATCATGTGCTAGATCTCTGACATTTACATATTGGTCTATTTAGGGACTCTCTGTTTTGTTATTTTAATGTCTCATGTCTATTCCTGTGCCAATATAACACTTTTTAAATTACTACAGCTTTAGGTCAGGCCTGGTGGCTCATGCCTATAATTCCAGCACTTTGGGAGGCTGACGTGGGAGGACTGCTTGAGGCCAGCAGTTTGAGACCAGCCTGGGCAACATAGCAAGACTCTGTCTCTACAAAAAAAAAAAAAAAAAAAAAAAAAAAAATTAGCTGAGTGTTATGGTGAGCACTTGTAGTCCTAGCTGCTCGGAAGGCTGAGGTGGAAGGACCTCTTGAGCGCAGGAGTTTAGGAGTTCAGGCTGCAGTGAGCTATGATTGCACTACTGCACATCAGCCTGGGCAATTGAGCCAGTCCCTGCTTCTCTAATGACAGTTTTGTCTTTTTCTTTTCTATCTCACATTTCTTTTTCTCGTTTTACTGAATTACTAAGAACTCTAGTAGATTACTGATGGTTGTGGTGTTGGGTATTTTCTTCCTGTTCTGAGCATTAATGCAAATGCAGCCAATGCTTCACCATCAAGAATGATGTTTGCTGTAGTTTTGTGGGAATTTTCCTTATCTTTCTAGTTTGCTTGGAACTTTAGGAATGAGTATTGAATTTTATTAAATGCTTTTTGGTACTCACTGAGATGATATAGGTCTTTTCTCTTTTAAATCAGTTAATAAATTACCTATCAGTCTATCTAAAATGGTGATTCATCATTACATTCTTAAGGTAAAGCCTTCTTGGTGATGTTAAATTTTATGTGAATGCACTACCTAATTCAGTTTACTAATACGATGCAGTCATATTTACACAAATTTAGGCACACAATAAAAAAGTCTTACTTTATGTATAAAATTGGACATAAGAGGAAATCTCTCCAATTAAAAAAGATTATCTACAATTGTATATTTTCATGGAGGGCAAGCCTGGTAAGTAGAACAAACTGGAATTATGCTATTGTTACATGGCAGTGCCACTTCAGTTAATCCCTATTCTTTATGAATGTCCCCAAAACAAAAGCATGATTTACATGCAAAGGAAGCACTATCAGATGGTGATAACTAGTCATGGTTATGTTCGCACTCCTTATTTATTTAAGTATTTTTTCTCTTTTTAAAAATTTATTTTTAATTATGATAAAATACATACAACATTCATCACTTTCACCATTTTTAAGTGTACAGTTCAGTGGTGTTAAGCACACTCACATTGTTTACATTTTTTATATTTTATTCTATGTCATCCAATTCTTCATGAAGTGTGACATTAGTTTTGAGGTGACCCTCAACCCATAACTGTAAAATAGGTTGGGTTAGATGAGCTAAAATGCTAGGAAGAAGAATGAACAACCTCCACAATGTAGGACCTCTTTATTTAGAAGAGAGTACACTCTAGGTTTTATTAGAGACAATGCCAAGTAAATGAAAAACAGCAGCAAACTGGGAATGTTTCTAAATTTTAAAAAAAGTCAAATGAGCAAAGGAGGGTAACAGAAAAAAAGCAGAAAAAGTTCTATTGATATGGCTATAAGATCTTTGTAACTATAACATGCCCCCAAGCTAAAATGGCTGTAGATTTATGTGTTTGGAGACCTCATCCCTCCTACTTCAGATTTATTACTATGGGGGCTGGAGAGAAATCTTGAAATAGGTGAATTCTAGATTATAAAAATCTCCAAGAACACATCCTTGCAAAACAACAACAAAAAACACAAATAAACAAATAAAAAAATCAATGCAACTGCCTTCTACTTTATTCAGAATGTTTGCATCTTTACTTATGAATATTTTAGACTAGTGGTCCCAGTGGTTTTTCCTAAGCCACACATGTGCAAGCATGTGCTCCTAAACAAACCCAGAGTCCTACTATAAATATCACTTTATTCATTCTGTGTAGGCAATTAAATAAAACATTCCTTTTAAAACCTTATTTTAAAAACTAAATACATATACTGGTGTTTCTGCTAAAGCCCACAGTATCTCTTTATTGCCTCAGTGGTAATAACCAGCTGCTCACTGTCTTTCACATAAAAACCATCAGGAACCTGAAGAGTGTTCTAATTCTCATTCTACTCCAACCTGAGTTCTCTCACCTTTCTCATAAGTCTAACAACTATTTTATTAGTGTGGTGACTCCCTTCTAAGTATCTCCCAGTATTTCACATCCCTCTTGAGTCTCAGAGCCTGAAAATAATGGATGTTGAGAGGAAATGGAATAATTACAGTCAGGTGTCAGAGTTGGTTACTTCTTCCTCCAGAAAAACTGGACCTATGAAGATGCCAAGAACTCCTATGTCTGCCCAAGCCAGGGAGGTAGGTGGTCAGAACCTCCTCATCTGTCCCCTTATCTGGATTTCCAATTAGAATGGACATTGTTACAAGCTAGTTTCAACAATATTCACAACAATATTCACAAGCCAATTGTTTTTAAAGTCTTTCTATTGTATACCCAGAAAGGATATTGTTTTTCAGCTTACAAGAATCAAGGCAAAATGAAGGGTGTAAATAAACTCAATGACTTTCCACTTATGATTGGCTATTCAGGGGAAAAAAGAAAGAAAGCAAAAGGGCAAGGTTGGTATAATATTTGAAAATAAATAATAATGGCAAGAATATTTGCTTCAAGTTGAATAGTAATAGAAAGATGAGTAGATGCTGTATTTAAAATAGTATAATGTTAGTATTGAGTATCCACAGTAAGACCTCAAATATCCCTCTTAATAGTGCACATTTAAAACACAGATTGCGCTGGGCGTGGTGGCTCACTCCCGTAATGCCAGCACTTTGGGAGGCTGAGGCAGGCGATCACCTGAGGTCAGGTGTTTGAGACCAGCCTGGCCAACACGGCGAAACCCCATCTCTACTAAAAATACAAAAATTAGCCGGGCATGGTGGCGGGCGCCTGTAATCCCAGCTACTCGGGAGGCTGAGGCAAAAGAATTGCTTGAACCCGGGAGGCGGAGGTTGCAGTAAGCTGAGATCATGCCACTGCACTCCAGCCGGGGCAACCAGAACAAGACTCCGTCTCAAAAAATAAAAAAAATTAAAAAAGAAAAAACAAAACAAAACACAGATTGCATTGGAATATTTTAGTGCAATGCAATGGGGAAATAAAGAACACTATCTCAATGGGCAAAGAGTCTTCATCTCTACATTTAGAAAAGCTGGAGGAAGTTTTCCAAGATCTTGTTTGACCTCTCTTTTCTTCAGAATGCATTTTGGAAAATGAATTTTAAAAGCAACTTACTGTTCTGCAGCCCTCATCAAATACCCTTGTATCTCCTCTGCTGAATTTGGGGAAGGAAGAAGACACTCACCACACTAAAAAAAGCCAGACCATTGGGAAGTATGTCAATATCTTCAGAGCCAGCTTCTGTAAGTTTAAGGAACAGATAAATGTCATGTTCAAGTTCTGTTATTTGTTACACAGAGCATAACTGGGACTCTGTTTACTTTATCAGAGTGACTGTATCTTTAGGGATGGTTCTGATGTTTTTTCCAAGGAACCATTCTTTTTAATAAATGTCAGTTTAAACCCCTTCCTGAAGTGAACTTCTGACTTTAAATGTTAGATATTTTATGTTTACTCAAATCAAAGTCAAGTTATCACCACATTTCCAGCTATAATACTGAAAAAGTTGACATCTGTACACTCTCATGATAAACATCCAGATGTCCGTATAAAAGTAATTGACATCAGGGGAATATTACTTTCTGAAGGAAGGGCTCATAGGCATTTAACCATGCAAATATCCTTGTCCTCTTCTTTGCTCATTCAATCTGAAGCAAACAGACATCTTTCTCATTAACAGAGGTAAAACACCTGGGATTATATATTCCTTCTTTTAAAAACAGTGCCTACTTGTGCTCATAAGCAAAGAAAGCTTTTCTATTTAATCTTTAAATTTAGGCTTTAAATTAGAGAAAAAAACTAGCAGAAGAAAATTAATGAAAAATACCATGCACCTAAGCCAGTTGAAGTTTCTAACTCCTGTCTCTGAGGCAGGCTACAATTACTATTGATTGTTTATTGACTGTCTGCAGTACACTCCACACAGCACAGCAAATAATTAGACATAAGACTTTCCCCAGCAGTCTCACTGTATAAATTCTACAGACAGATAATAGACCCAAACACAAGAAAAGAAGAATAAAAATGGCTTAGATTAAGCCAAACCATGACACATTCTTTGAGTCTACAAAATCCAATCTTCCTCTTTAAGACTTCTCCATAGGATTTCTTCAAGGTTATTTCTAGGTTGTCAAAACCAAACAGCATCTATCTATCCAGCCATTTTGGTCTTGCTTCATGAGTTTGCATTTAGCCAGTTGCCTCCAGTGTTGCTTGCTCCATCGTAGTGCAGAAAAACAAAACAAAATAAAAATGCCAAGAACTTCACATTGTAAAGATGACCCATCTGCCTGCTCCTCAGAAAGAAGATACACAGAAATAAGCTTAAGCATGGCATAGCGGAGGAGTTCTCAATCTGGGGTCTGTGGATCACTTTTGGGCTTCAAAGTATCTGTGAACCCTCGGAAATTCTATGCAATGCAAAATGTCTCATGTATGCACAGATGAGAACGTTTCTGTAAAAACGGTCCTTGATTTTCATCAGATTCAAAAAAGAGACTGTGATTCCCCCAAAAAGGTTAAGAATGACTAGACTCTAGTTCCACGGTGGTTGTCCACTGGTAATAAGTTAAGAATCAGGGGAACGCTACACCACATACACATGTATACACAGCACATACACATGTACACACAGACACACACACACACACACACACACACACACACACACCGAGAGAGAATTCTAGTCCAGGTTTTGCTTTTCAGTCCTATTTAGTAGAAGCTCAATTAATTAAAATTTGTTTTTCCTGAAAATTATTTTAGAAAATTTAATTTCCAAGTATACACGTGGAAAAAGAAGATATATAGAAAAAATTAACAATGCTTCTTTGATAGGATTATGAATGATTTTTATTTTTTTCTTTATACTTTGTTTAAAATTTTCTACAAAATTGTATATTTTTTAATAATTAAGGAAAGAGAAATCTTTTTTTAAAAAAATACATTTATTTCAACCATATTGTAACTTCTGTTTAACTCCATTGCCTAATTCCAATGGAAAAAATGTATCTATCTGTAGCCTTCTTTGGAATATTTTCCAGATCTTCTCCCCGTCATCATTTCTATAGCCACTACTGCAGGAAGGTTTTATCATCGTGTATCCCCTCTTCGGTGTGATTATGTCAGGAGCAGTCAATGCTAGAGAAATTTTTGCTCCTCTAATTTAATAATAATAACTAACATACATTAGGTACACCAAGTACCAGGCTCCTTGTAAATACCCTGCATACAATATCTCATATGATTATCTTTTATTTTAGAGTGAAGACTATTGGAGGCTTTGGAAAAGTTAAGCAATTGCTCAAGGTCACAAACTGGGAAGCTGGGACTCAAAGCCTTTGCTCTGACTTAAAGGCAAACAGAAAATATTCAAGTTAGAATTTAATGAATTTCCTCTCTCAGAAACATCCCCTGATTCCTCTGTAAAGCCACTTCACTTGTAAATTCAATTGTGGTCAATTCCATATGTTGTCTTTTTCCCCTGAAGTTTTGCTTCCAAGCCTCTCACCAACATCTTTACCAATGAATATCCTGCACTTTTCTTTAAAACCTCTTTCAAAACCTTTTCTGTCTTTTTCGTATTTCAACTTATTTTATTTCAAAACAAATTTATTAAATCTTTACTTTTTTTATTCTAGTGATATACATTAATTTCAATATTGCATTCCAGGTGATATTTATGTAAATATGTGAAAACTTAATACTGTGGGCTGATTTGGCACTGTTTGTCACTCTTATTGTGTGCTTGACTCTCTCCCTCCCCTTCATCGGTTCTCTCTCTTTAAACTTTTTATTATGGGAAATAGACACAAATCAAGAGAATGGTGTGGTGAGCCCTTATATACCCAGTACCCACCTTCAACAGTTATCAGCTCATGGCCAGTCTTGTTTCCCTTGCAGTCCTACCACTTATCCTCATCCTGTGTTATTTTAAAGCAAATCTGAGGCATCATATTATCCCTAAATATATTTATACAAACCACAATATCATTACTACACTAAAAATTCACAATAATTCCTCAATATCATCAAATATCTAGTTAGTGTTCAAATAGCCAATCATGTTTAAAAGGTGTAGCTTTAAAAAATTACAGTTTGTTTAATTCAGAGTCCAGGTAAGGTCCCACACATTTCAATTGATTGATGTGCCTCTTATTTCTTTAAGTCTACCCCGTGTCAGTCCATTATTGCCTGTGGGCAGGAGGACTTAGCTCCCTGGGTGCACTCAGAGCTTTTGGTAGCCAACACTCAGGGAAGTTGGGGGGGATCTGGGGAGGGTATCCACTGCATCCACTGCTCAGGGGAATTAGGGGGAGAATTTCCAGGCACAAGGAACAGCATGAGCAAAAAAACACATGAATGGCACAGCGTAGCATGACAAACCCTTTCTTTAGAAAGTCTCCTAGCTTAGCACATTTAATTTCCATCTCTTCTTATTACTTTAGCAATTATCTGTGTCAGAGGTGGCCAAGTGTTCACCAGCATCCATGTTCCCCTTCTTCCTTTTTAGCCTTTTTAGCAATAGGCACGTAGCAACACAGCTATAGATAACATTGCCCACCCTTTCTGGCTGACAGATGTGGCCATATGTCTAAGTTTGGGTCAATAGGATGTGAGAATACAATATATATGCAACTACTGGGTAGAAAAAAAAATCTACATAAATTTTCTTTCAACCCCTTCCTGCTGGGAAATGGCAACAAGCAGAGTTCTAGTCTTAGATGAAGACAGCTGTGTTGCTTCATCAGCATTTGCCCCTGAATGACCATATGGAACACAGTCACCTAACTACCCTAGGCCATTCACTTACCTTAAGACTGATGAGAGAAAAATAAAAATAAACATCTCTTTTCTAAGTGACTATAATTTTATAACAGCAACGCATCCTTTACTATACCCAATAGAGCATCCCATATGTAACATATTATTTCCTACTTTTCTGGTTCACTCATCAAGTATATACATTAGTCACCCTGGGAAAAGACACTATATTGGAAAGTGAATTTGCAAAAGTTGCTTAACCTCCTTGAGCCTCAGGTACTTATCTGCTAGAGAAAGAAAAGACATATCTATATCTCACAGTGGTTTTTTGTTTTGTTTTGTTTTCCTTTTCTCCCATCAGTAGACTGTAAAGTACTTGATTATAAGGGCCACAAACTTTAATGCTTTTTTCCCCTCAATCTCCCAAGCAGCAGTTATTGTAAAGGTCTTGACTGCCAAGTGCATAAAATTGTTAGTTATCTTGAGAAAGACAGTCCACTCAAATTTTGAAGGCCAGACATTTAGAAAATCAGATTTTTTAACTTTTAAGCCTCAAATAAAGTTAACTAGCTCTTGACATTTTAATATGCAGATGTTAATCTGCCAAATCTTGGGTGTATAAAAGCTTAGTTTCTGTCTATAAGATAGATCGGGAAGGAATTTTTGAAAAGGACTAAATAGTGAACTTATTTTCTGACCCACAGAAGGCACACATCCTGTATGATATGTAGTCAATAACTATGATTTATTAAAGCAGACACAATATGATATGATATATATAAAGCACCCAAAAGTTGCACATAGTTCACTTCCAGTGATGGTGACTGAAGCACGGTAGTGTGTGCATATGTATGTGTGTGTTGATGGGAATCAAGGGCAAGGGGGAAGGAAGGTTCACCTCTTAGAGGGATTAGTTGGCCTCAAGTGCATAGCTACTACTGTTTTCAAAACAGAAAATAAGAAACAGCCCTCTCTATCATAAAAAGTCACTTTTGCCTGTATAGAAATGTGTGTCCAGCACATTGTTATTTCTTCTTATCAAAGACCTGTGAATAAGCAACTGTTGTTAAAGATATATAACCAAAAGTTATTATTAACCATTATGCATCACTAACATAGCATTCGACAAACGTTCATATGGTGTGTGCTAACCACAGGGCAAAAGCAAAAAAGAAAAAAAAAAGGACAATTCTAATTAGATCTAAAAATGTATCCCAAATGTGCTTCTAATCACTCATCCTCTCCGCTCTGTTGCCTTTTGAAGTGCCTCAGAGGCATTTAACACTTCACAAGAGGGGCCATAGGTGACATATTTCCTCATTCTTTCCAATTCCAGACAGCAGCTCACACACATCACAACATAAAGGTCACAAACATAGACAGATGCCTGTTCAGAATACAAATGTTGCTGGGCTTGTTTTTCTCTGAGGAGCGCTCCATCCCAGTGAGTTGTAAGAGGAATGCACTTGGCAGTCTGTCATGTAACATGGCTGGTTGTGCCCTATTGTCTACTCTGAGACTTGTATTCACAGAAGGTGGGCTTCCCAGGGCCAAGGGCTGTTTAATAATGTGACAATTATTAACTCAGCAGCAAAAGTAACCTAAGAGATCACTGGCCCAAACTCCCACCCTTGCCCAACATCTTTTACTAATGCCATCTGGCTTTTGCTGAGTGACCAGTTCTGAGAGGGCTCTTCTTGATTGCAGCTGGAAGGCAAGATGAAGCTGCTAAGTTACTTGGGACTCTTGAACTGTCTGCATGATCCAGCACAGATGTAGTCAATCTGCTATTTGATATGAGTTTGCCTCCTCCCACTTAGTGTTTGGGCAATTGAAAGAAGGAAGGGAAATTCCAGGACAGCCAACCAGTCTAGGGGAGGGGAGGTAGAACTGGGGAAATACAAAAGTATCAATGAAAAAAAGGAGAAAGAACACATAGGAAACAGATGCCTAAGGAATGAGAGGCAGATCAACCTGAGGAAGCTGATTTAAAAGAAGAAAAAAAGAAAGGGAGGCAAGCAAGGTATTTGTAGAGAAACTCTGAAGGTGGCACTGTCAACTGATGGTTTATTTTTACTAAAAGAGTGCTGAGAACTCTGTCTGGAGTGAATGTGGTTACAACTATGAGGTACTGAGTTTATTACTGTTGCCAAATTGAGAGCAACTTAGCAATGACTGTCAAAACTCTAAACACATATTCTAAGGGAACAACAATCCCATTGTTAAGGACATATTCTACAGACACACAAACTCAACAGCAATGATGTTCACTGATTTGTTCATAGTTGCAAAAAACTGTAACAACCCAAATGTACATTAAAAGGGGAATGGTTAAATAAATCATGGAATGTGAAAATATTAAAAAGAACAAAGTAACTATATATGCTGATGTGGAAAGCTGCTCACACTGTTTTAGGAATGAAGAAGGTTGTGAAATATTTACACTAAAATTCTATTTGTGAAAAAAAGAGTCAATATATTTGTTTGCAAATGCACTGAAACTATCAGGAAAGATAAAAAAGGGAGCTTTATCTTTGGGGTTATTTCTGTTGGGGGTGATGAAGAGTTTGATGAGAGATTTTTATTTTTATTTACTTTCCATTTTATATCTTTCTATATTGTTTGCACATACACTGTTTATATGAACTTTGCACAAAAAATACTGTGCAGTTGTGAAGAAAAGGTAACATTATGTACAAACATAAGTTTCCAAAACCTAGTATTAAGTACAAAAAGCTAGTTTTGAAATATTATGCATAATTTGACCTCACTTATGTTTTTAAAAATTATGTACAGGAGTATTCATAAAAAGAAAAAGATGGAAGGACACTCAAAACTTGTTTAACAATGTTACCTATTCAGAGAAGAGAACATTTCCATGTAACCCGAGTTTTAATTTCTAAAGAGTAAAACAAAATATTAAATTGTCTCTCCTACCTCTAGAGAAGGATGTTGTTGTAAAGGACTAGAAGTGACTCAATGACAGTCTAGTTATTTCCACACTGTGGCTCTCAGAGTAAGATTATAAATAAATGGTCCCAGGCTTTTTAAAGTCTAAAAACCATTAGTCTAATCACAAACTCATCATTATAGGTGACAAATACAAAAACCAACTTTGCCTAAGGTTACATTGTGGCAGAATAGAACTAGAAACTAGGTGTTTTGACTGCTAATTCTTTTTGTTTCTAATCATACCATGAACCATATCTAAGGAAAGCCAATATTGGCTGGGCTCAGTGCCTCATGCCTGCAATCCCAGCACTTTGGGAGACCAAGCTGGGAGGATTGCTTGAGGCCAGGAGTTCAAGACCAGCCTGGACAACATAACAAGACCCTGTCTCTACAAAAATAAAAAACTAGCCATGAGTGGGGGCATGTGCCTGTAGTCTCAGCTACCTGGGAGGACGAGGCGGGAGGATCGCTTGAGCCCAGGATATCAGGGCTGCAGTGAGCCAAGATTGCGCTACTGCATTCTGGCCTGGGTGACAAAGTGAGGCCACCTCTCAAAAAAAAAAAAAAAAAAAATTAAAATTTAAAAAAAAGGAAAGCCAATATTTATTGTTCATTGATAATCTAACTACTAGTCTATTATGTACTAGGGACATGTACTTAGTAGATGATAAAGGGTAAAAGACAGCAAGACACAGACTCTACCTTGGAGAAAAACTGCAAACACACCAGAGAGACCCTCAGTGCTGGAGAAGAATCTGGACAGATCCCTCCTTATCTATAGCAAAATTGGGGCTTGCTCTTAGGAACCCCTACTCAAAGACTCAGACTCCACAATACATCCTACATAAAGTCAAGGGAAGAGGGAGACTCCCCCTCTGCAGTCATAGCTTAGAAGATAAAATAAAAACAAGTTTTTACAATACATATTGTGAAGTGCCGGTACATCAGTCCGTTCTCAGGCTGCTAATAAAGACATACCTGAGACCGGGTAATTTATAAAGGAAAGAGGTTTAATTGACTCACTGTTCCGTGTGGTTGGGGAGGCTTCAGGAAACTTACAATCTTGGTGGAAGGGGAAGAAAACACACCCTTCTTCACATGGCGGCAGCAAGGAGAAGTGCCGAGCAAAAGGGGGAAAAGCCCTTATAAAACCATCAGATCTCATGAGAACTCACTCACTATCACGAGAACAGCAGCACAGGGTAACCACCTCATGATTCAATGACCTCTCACTGGGTCCCTCCCACAACACGTGGGGATTATGGGAACTACAATTCAAGATGAGATTCGGGTGGGGACACAACCAAACCATATTGGTCAGTTACGTGTTAGCCATAAGATCAGATCCTAGTTATAGAGTAGTGAGCAGGGTAAATGCTGTCACTGCCTACATAAAGCTTCCTTCACTAGCTGACCACAAGGCTCACAGAACACAGACTGCAGCGGCCATACCTGACAAACAATACAGACGCAACAAAAATAGTTCAGAGAAGTCACAAAACAAGCAAGAAATCAAATGCTAAACATAGAATTACACACAAAAAAGAATAATTTACAGTGAGGGTAGGAAAGAAGAATAAATACAGGGTTCATCAGATCAAGAGGTTGACCAAAGAGGTTTTTGTTGATCTAATGTGATTTATCCACTGAAAAGCAGTAATTTCATGCTAAAATGCCATTAATGAGTGTTTTAATGTTAATGGCCAAAAAATGCAATGTGCCCAACAAGCATTTTCATATACATACCAATTCCTTTAATCAGGTGGCAGTGTGGAAGGTCTACAGATTCTACTTCTCTGGAGGCTTTAAGTCGATTTCTGTTACAAAGAAAAAAAAACAAAAAACAAAAAACTATTTGTTTATGTATTCCCTGCTTTGTTTTAGAAAGGGTTTAAAGAGGCTTACAGCAATACATAAAACACAGTTTAAGTCTAAAGCAGATGAAAGAGAAAATAGAAAGACAAGGGTAGGAAAATAAAACTGCACCAGAAATGAAGTTAAAACAAAAATGCCTATTGCAAAGTTCTATATACTGATGTGGGTTATTAAAAAAAAAAAGCCAATAACTCAACAAATAAAACTTATAATGCAAGTTCCTATGCAAATGTAAACACAGCACCATGTCACATTTCTCAGTGTTGGTGTTGTGGGAAAAGAGTTCCAGATGTAGAACCAGTAGCCCTGTCTTCCTTCTGAAGAGTCAAACGTGAAAAATGACTGTAAGCCTCACACAGAGACTGCAAAGAAGCCAAGAGAAAATGGCATTGCTCAGAGCCTGACACACCAAAGACATCCCACAAATAGTTACTAACAAAAAAGAAAAGAAGGTAGCATCCCTATGACAGTATTTTTTTAAATAAGAATGTATTTATCTTATTTCAATAGCTTTTGGGGGTACATGTGGTTTTTGGTTACATGGATGAGTGATATAGCAGTGAATTCTGAGATTTTAGTGTACCCATCCATGACAGTATGTATTGGAATAGGAAGGTTGGAGAACACCAACTAGTTCTGTAACTACTTCAGCAAAACTATTTGCTGTTGTATACCCAGAAAATTAAAAGAAGGAAATAATAAGAGAATGTTGAACTCTAATAGGATGTCTTCCCCCTCCCTCTCCACTCTAGAGGGCCAGGAAGCAGTTTGGGACAATATCTGTGGGATCTTTTGTTTTGAAGGCCACATACTATTGGCTTTCCCTTCTCTCTCACATTTTTCACCTTCTCTGTTCTCTAGAGCCATAAATAATAAAAATAGCACCTTGTAGAAACTTTACATTTTTCAGTGGTTCCCACATACCATACATTTAAGAGACGAAATAGCTATTTGCCATGTGTCCTTCTCCTGTGCATATTCCTGACAGCTTCTGAGGTCTAGACACTGGGGAAGGCTTCTGGAGTATGGGGCAGGCTACCAGTTTCTTCTAGATAACCCAGAATGACTCATAGGTTGTACCAACTACACATTTTGGCAATTCATATCAGACATAAAGTTTCTAATTAAAATGTTAATCAGTATGTATTTGAAATCATGTAACTCAAATAATGTTAAATTTTTTGAAACAATATAGCAATAAGGCAAAAAGTACAAATAAATCAATATTTAAATATAATAAAAAATAATGCATTAAATGTATTAAATAATACAAATTTTTAAATAAGGCATTAAAAAATACAATAAATCTCATGGCCTACGTGTCACAGAAGTGATTTAAGAGAGGAAAAATAAGCTAGAAAACCAAATACTGCATGTTCTCACTTTAACTGGGAGCTAAACAATGGTGCACATGGACATAAAGATGACGATGGTAGACACTGGGGACTACTAGAAGGGGAAGGGAAGGGAGTAGACAAGGGCTGAAAAACTATAGGGTACTATACTCACTACCTGGGTGATGGCATCAGTTGTTCCCCAAACCTCAGCATCAGACAATATACCCATGTAAAACCTGCACATGTACCCCTTGAATCTAAAATAAAATTGAAATTATAAAACAGAGAGAGAAAAAAAAAGTTTATGTAGCCTAATGTGGTAGTAATCTTAATTGTGATGATGAGGATGACACTGATGATAATTGTGGGTGGTCAAAGGAAATAAATAATAAAAAAGTATAATTTACCGCTGTTCTAAGTGATTTACCTCCATGCATTCATTTAATTCTTCAAACAACCCTGTAAATTAGGTAGCATTATTCCAGTTTAAAAGATGAGAAAACTGAATCAGACAAAACAATTTTCCCACGGCGCAACTTAGCCAGAAGTGCTGGAAGCAGGGAAGCTTTTGCTTTAAACTACTTTGTACTTTTCTCAGAAAGAAGTAAAGGGATCTGTGTTCTTGTCTCAGCAGTGAAACTGCCATGACCCTTGGCAGGTCAGTTAATCTCTATAGGTGTCAGTCTTCTTTATGGATAAAATAAGGATGAGCCTAAAACACCTCCAAGATTCTACAAATGTTATATGACTCCAGAAACAGATGTAGATACAAAGCAATAGGATGTAACTGCTGTTTGTACACCAAGTTTTAGTATCATGCATTGGTTTGGATGTCAATTTTACACAACTTACTACTATGCCTATTTGACTATACAAAAATAGGGATAACGATGTTTACCATCTACCTTTTTCAAAGATAATCTCTTTGGATTAAATAAAATCTGTTCAAAGTAACATATTCTGATGTGTTTGAAAAGTTTAATATGGGGTTCCTGTTTCAGAGTCAACTTAGGTTTGCGTAAGTAATTGGTGCTAAATAGGGCAATCTTCATCAACTAGTTTTCTTGTATAATATCATGTTTTCATATGCAGCCTACCTGCTATTAACATGGAAGAGTTACATGAGGGTTGTGCATAACTTCTACTTAACTAATTTTTTTCTTGGCTTTCCTTTTTGATAAAAGAAAATGAAGGTTTTGCCTTTATCCTTCCTGGACCATCAAGACTTCCAAATTTCTTCAGTAGGAAACTGCCAGACTTTTTCCCTGGCAGAACAATCAGTTCCCTGCTTGTTAGTGGACTTCTGTTTTCTGGGTGGCAGACCCTAGCGGCTGACAAAATTAACGCCATGCCCAACCCCCTTTCTTTCTCCCTTGTCGTTTCTATTGTAGTGGTGGGCAAAGCAAATATTTGCTTTCCCAGACTCCGCTGTATTGAGGTGTAGTCATATGACCCAGGTTTTGGGGAAAGACACTGTGTTCTAGATACAAAGGAGAGTCACGAGAAGAGAGCTAGCTGGCATCACTCAATCTCCTTTCTTCATGATTTGAACACACACGCAGTGTTTGAGACTGCGGCAGCCATTCTGCATCCTTGAGAAAGATACAGCTATAAAGTCAATAGGGGGAGATCAAAGAATGAAAATATATGAAGAACCCAGTTCCTTGATATAATCACTGGCTCAATGAACAAGCTCTATATTGGGTCACCCACAGAGCTGTTTTTCATGTGAGGAAAATAAATCCCTCTTTGAATGAACTACTATTAATCTGATATATGTTACTTGTGGCTGGAAGCAATCCTCGCTGGCATCAGATTTAAGAACTTTGTGTATTTAAGAAATACATATATTTCTCTTAATATAGAGAAAGCTATACAAACCTTTTTGGATTAGATTAATAAATCTAAAAGTATTCATGTAAAAAATACAACATAAATGGTATAAACACATATAAGTGATGATATGAGAGGAGGAACACTCTTTACTTTTGCTAGAGCCTATTTGTTCCCTAACACTTTATGTCTATAACATGCTTATGACTGTGCCAGGTCAGAGATGCATGGCTGTTGCCACTCTGCTGTCATGCAGGAATTGCTAATCAATAACAGCACTCTCCCTCTAACCCAGAGCCAGCCTCAGACACATTGTTTCGCAACCACAGGGAGTCTGTTAAAATTGACACTCAAAAGGAAAGCTATTTGCCTTCTCTGTTTTAGGTTCCTTTTGTTTTCCTTTCTTTTCTTTTTCATTACAGTTATTTATTTTATTATTTCCTCATCACGAGCCTATGGTAGGTATAATACAGCAAACAGTATCCGCTGGCTTCCTTCATTGGTGTCACAATCATTCCCCAAGTGACCCCTATGGAGTCCAGTGACCAAGGAATCCATGGGTAGAATTCAGGGATCCATGAACTTGGATGGGGGAAAAATACATCTTTATTTAAACCTTTAACTCAAATTGAGTATTTCCTTTGATGATGAGTATAAGCAACAAACCACAATACTATTAGTAGTATTTGTGACTGTCACTAATAGAAATTATAGATACTTTTCTATCGCATTTCAGTTGTAGATAGCTCAAAGTGCCATTTACATTCATTGCAACTTCAAAATATCTGCTGTTAGACATTTACCTACCTCTAGATCCATTTAAGGGTTTAATTTAAAAAGCATATTATATCATAGATTTTTAAATAGCTTGGTAGCAGTATTTAATTGGTTTCCTGTGTAATCCTATATATTTTATTTTACTCATTTAAAAACATGATGCTGAGAAGGAATGAAGGCTTTACCAGACTGCCAAAGGGATGTATGGCACAAAGGTTTAAGGAATTATGCTTGAATTTCATTGTCTACATAGATGACATTTATTGAGCTGACTGTGCGCTTGGCATTATTTTAAGCATTCTCATAGTCCCACTGTGGAGCAGGCAGTACCCCATCCTACAGATTACAACACTGGGGCACAGAAAAGTGAAATAATTAGTCCAAGGTTTCAGGTAAATAGTAGAGCTATGAATGAACTCAGGCTACCTGTCCACAAAGCATGAACTTTTTTTTTTTTTTATACTTTAAGTTCTAGGGTACATGTGCACAACGTGCAGGTTTGTTACATATGTATACATGTGCCATGTTGGTCTGCTGCACCCATTAACTCGTCATTTACATTAGGTATATCTCCTAATGCTATCCCTCCCCCCTCCCCCTACCCCACAAGAGGCCCCGGTGTGTGATGTTCCCCTTCCTGTATCCAAGTGTTCTCATTGTTCAATTCCCACCTATAAGTGAGAACATGTGGTGTTTGGTTTTCTGTCCTTCCAATAGTTTGCTAAGAATGACGGTTTCCAGCTTCATCCATGTCCCTACAAAGGACATGAACTCATCCTTTTTTATGGCTGCATAGTATTCCATGGTGTATATGTGCCACGTTTTCTTAATCCAGTCTATCATTGACGGACATTTGGGTTGGTTCCAAGTCTTTGCTATTGTGAATAGAAAGCATGAACTCTTAACCAACAGTCATTAGCATGAAATCAATCTCAGTGTCTTTCATTCAGGAAACAGCAGTACCCATCCAGAGTAGAATGAGACCAGGGGCTGCTAGCTATTATCTGGCCTCATGGCAGGTAGCAGTAAGGGTGTACCATGCTACGGTGCCAATATGCCCCTAAGCAAAGTGGGAACACAGTGTTACTATCAGGAGTTTCTTTGTGCCATACTTCTCTGCTTTTGAAATTTACATACAACTGCTGGGGCTTTATCTCCTATGTGCAAGTGATATACAAGCCAGGGCTTTATCTTTTATGTATAGCCTTGTAAAAACCCTTTGGAATTCACCCCTTGGGCTCTGGCAATACTTGCACTAAGTAACTAAGAATCTGTGCTTAGGCCTGTAAACCTAGGGAAAATTTGCTCCACTGGCAGAGAAGCTAGAAGACTGTGGGGAGCTGGGGCAAACTGTATTTGGAATCAGGAGACCTGGCTGAGGCGACAGGTTCAGCACTAATTATTCATTAATTATATTATTCAATATTTATATTATTCTGTTGAACTAACTAGTTAACCTCTCTAACCTCAGTATTTACAGTTATAATGTAAAAGGGAAGATATCTATGAAGACTGGATGAAGGCATAAAAGTAAAAGAGCTTTCTTTCCAAATATCAGTAAATGTACGTTTTGGTTTAATATAAAGAAATTTGGCAGGGCTCAGTAGCTCATACCCATAATCCCAGTGCTTTGGGAAGTTGATGCGGTAGGATCACTTATGGCTAGAAGTTTGAGATCAGCCTGGGCAACACAGCAAGACCCCCATCTCTACAAAAAAATTTTTTTGTTTTTTTTTTTTTGAGACAGAGTCTCGCTCTGTTGCCAGGCTGGAGTGCAATGGCTCACTGCAACCTCCGCCTCCCGGGTTCAAGTGATTCTCCTGCCTCAGCCTCCTGAGTAGCTGGGATTACAGGCATGTGCCACCGTGCCTGGCTAATTTTGTATTTTTAGTAGAGATGGGGTTTCACCATGTTGGTCAGGCTGGTCTTGAACTCCCGACCTCAGGTATCCACCCGCCTCAGCCTCCCAAAGTGCTGGGATTATAGTAATGAGCCACCGTGCCCGGCCATGTTTTTTTAATTAGCCAGGTGTAGTGGTGCATGCCTATAGTCCTCACTGCTTAGGAGGCTGAGGTGGGAGGATTGCTTGAGCCCAGGTGTTCTGGGTTACAATGAGCTATGATTGTGCTGCTGCACTCCAGCCTGGGTGACAGAGCAAGAACCTGCCTTGAAGAAAAAAGAAAAAAAGAAAGAAAATATTTTTTAAAAGATAGATTAAAAAAATAAATAAAGAAGTTTTTACACTTTTGACACACTGACTGACCAGCACACAAGAGTTACATAATAAATGATTTAAAGGATGGTGGTTTAAAAAAAAAAAAAAGGGAAAAAGGCTGCTCTTTCAGAAGTAGAAACAGACCACATAGCTTCTTGTGGGAATTGTCATAAAAGGTGCGAGGCAGCAAGCAGAACATTCACATGGGTACTCTGGGGGTTCCTGCCCACGCTTAGGTCTCTGATGCACTCAAGCCTCATGATTCATCCATGGCTGTGTACCTTGACACCAGGAACTGGCCTGGGAATATTTGTATACTGTTATTTTCCCCTTTATTGCTCAACTAGGGAGGGGTGGAAAAGGAGGGTGTGGAATCCCAGTTACAGTTCAGAAGAAGAAAGACAACTTTGATGGCATTTATCCCTCTGGGACATCCTTATACTAAAAATTGAAGTGGGCAACCTGGGGAGAGAAATAACTTGATTGCCAAAGTACCATCTCTAAATATTGAATAATCAAACAGTAGGCATCAGATTAAAGCAAAAATCAAACATAAAGCCTCTGTTCCTTCAACTTCCTCTGAAGAGCCTTTCCTTATGGGGAGGTGGGAACATGCTTTTTTTCTTTTTTTTTTGAGGGAGTCTTTCTCTGTTGTCCAGGCTGGAGTCCAGTGGCTCAATCTTGGCTCACTGCAACCTCTACCTCTGGGGTTCAAGCAATTCTCCTGACTCAGCCTCCCAAGTAGCTGGGATTACAGGGATGCACCACCACACCTGGCTAATTTTTGTATTTTTATTAGAGACGGGGTTTCACCATGTTGGCCAGGCTGGTCTTGAACCCCTGACCTCTAGTGATCTGCCCGCCTCAGCCTCCCAAAGTGCTGGGATTACAGACGTGAGCCACTGTGTCCGGCCAAACATGCTCCTTTTTAAAACAGACTCAAAGGGTCACCAAATTCTGACAGAAGGCACTCGAACATATGATAAAATACAGGGTACCCAGTGATATTTTAATTTGAGATAAACAATGAATGATATTTTAGTATAATTATGTCCCAAATTCCACGCTTAATGCTAAAAGTATGGTATAAGTATTTCATGCTTATACTAAAAAAAAAAAAAAAAATCCATGTGAAATTCAAAGTTAACTGGGTAGCCTACATTTTTCTTTGCTAAATCCAGCCACCCACCACCTACCCCAACATTCTCACGTCAGCCCATTTGGGGCTCCACATATCCAATAAAGTTACCATTTTATAAAGTCACTGCCCATTAAAGTGCATCACAGTCACGTAAAGAAAAGGTGCATCAAATTGTAAAGTAGGCCGAGGGTGGTGGCTCATGTGTATAATCCTACCACTTTGGGAGGCTGAGGCAGGAGCATCACTTGAGGCTGGGAGTTTGAGATTAGCCTGGGCAACAAAGTGAGACCCTGTCTCTGCAAGAAATAAAAATACTAGCTGGGCATGGTAGCATGCATCTGTAGTCCCAGCTACTCAGGAGGCTGAGGAGGGAGGACTGCTTGTGCCTAGGTGTTTGAGATTGCAGTGAGCTTTGATGTACCACTGTACTCTGGCTTGGGCGGCAGAGCAAGACCTTGTGTCAAAATAAAAAACAAAGAAAAACAAAAAACAAACAAACAAAAACCTGTAAATAAACTATCAGGCATTCTGTCAATAAGTTTTATTTACTTTTTCTTTTTTTTTTAGATTTGCAGCTATAACTTTAAAACCTTAAGATTAGTGAGAAGGGGGAATATTTGACTGTTGAGAAAACTTCCAACTTGCAGAAAAACTGGTGGCTTACACATTAGTGACAACATAATAAGCTTGTGAATTTTGGTGGTCTTGCCTTTGAAATGGAGAGCAGGACAGATCATATACAAAGTCATCCAACTCATGAATGTTCTGTAGAGCACAATGGGCATTACCTAACATGAAAATTAAGGTCAACATGTCCATTTCCTACCCATAAGCGTTCTTTCCTCAAATCTCACTCCCATCTCAGCCACCACACGCTTCCTCTTTGCACTGCTTTATCAGTAGATGAAACTACAACCATGGGACAGTGGAGCTGTGGCACAAACTCTGGTAGCACCTTTGACTTCTCCCTCATCCCTGGGGTTCCAGAGTTTGGGTCCCTGTTATCCTCTCTGACCTACTGCAATACCTTAACCAGTTACCCCATGTCTGCTCTCTATTCTAGTAGTTCTCGACCTTGACTGCTCATTAGAATTATCAGGAATGTTTTTAAAAATAAAAAATGCCACTGCTACTGTCAGCCACTGTTCTTACATTATGCACTTCCTTATTTATCTATTTACCTGGGAACCCTGAAGCCAGCTTGCCAAACAATACATTATTCCATATCACATTTTAATTATAACGAAAAATCTCTGGTAGGTAGACACCATAGTTTATAAATTACCAACTCAAATTTTGTTTTTTATTTATTTATTTATTTATTTATTCATTTTGTAGAGGTGGGATCTTGCTATGTTGCCCAGGCCTGTCACTAACTCCTGGGCTCAAGCAATCTTCTGGCTTAGGCCTCCAACAGTGCTGGGATTACAGGTGTGAGCTGTAGATTCTGATCCAGAACAGCTGAATCAGAATCTTTGGTGGTGCCACTCAGACACCAGCCCTCCAGGAGATTCTAATGTACAGAGAACCATTGCTCTCCTCCAATCCCCCCTTCCAGGCTTATCTCTATAAAACACAACTAGTTATATTAAGTTCTTGTTGAAAAGCAAAACCCACCAATATTTCCCTTTTGAAGCACTATTGGGCCTATGAAAGTGGGGCCCCATTTTTCAACTTATATTTAATGGCCTCAAAACCTATCCTTCCCACCACCCTACTATTCTCATCTCCTGACTTTATGCTCCCTTCAAATTGGCCCATTTGCTAGTCTTCCAACTTCCCACCTTAGCCCCTTTGCTCCTGCTGCACTATACATTTGGCATGGGCCCCTTCATGCTCATATGTGTTGCACCCACCCTTCAAGGTCAGGTCGAATGTCTCTTCCTCCCTCTAGAACTCCACCCTCAGGGGATGGAATCTTTCCTCTTTAAGCCTATGCGGTTCATTTGTGTCTGTCCTTAGAACATCCTAATTTATACATTTACTGTATTTTAATTCTCTCTTCCCCTGTATCAAACTCCATAAGGGTCGTACTCTACTATAGAAGCCTAAGAGAGAACATTACACATAGCAGGTGCTCAGTCTTTCTGGAACTCTTTTGCATGAGGCCTATAAAATTTTGGTTGAGGCAGGGCAGAACAGCTCACACCTGTAATCCCAGCACTGTGGGGAGGCCTAGGCTGGAGGATTGCTTGAGTGCAAGAGTTAGGGAACAGCCTGGGCAATACAGCAAGACCCCATCTCTACAAAAAATAAAATAAACAAAAAACAAACGTTGAGTTGGTAATTTATAAACGATGATGTCTACCTACCAGAGATTTTCATTAAAACTAAAATGCGAGATGGAATAGTGTCTGCGCTGTCTGGCATTCTGGCTTCAGGCTTCCCTGGTGAATAAATAGGAAGTAAGAACAGTAGCTGAATATTTCAAGTGTCTTTGATCTACAGCTGAAGAGTTTCTCAAACTATGCAGAAATGGGTGGAGAACAACTTTATTAAAGACGGGTCTGGTTTGGGCAACAAGGAGAAACAGCACCAATGACCTGAAATAAATCTTCATAGTTAAGGTTTCAATGCATGAGTAGTCATTTTGTTTTCAATTTAAACCACTAGTTTGGCCCTTGGGTAATTGCAAAGCATTCTCTTGTCAGCCTAAGCAGAAGAGAACTTTGTTAGCAGCAAGGGCTTATAAACTTTCAAGAAAGTGTCGCGATTCACTCCAAACTTTGCTAGTTTTTTCACTAGAAGCGGAGAGTCGGGGTGATGGGGGTTCAACTAGCTGGGGGAGGGACAGCATTCAAAAATTCTCCACCCCCGGCCGCAGGGCCAGGTCCCGCAGGAATCCCTCCCCCAGCCTGCGCCCTCCCCGCACCACGCGGCCACCCCGAGCCTGGGGACCGCCGAGGAGGGGCGCGCGGGAGTCCCACCTACCTGAGTGCCAGAAGCCTCTCGCCCAGGAGCGCCAGCGCGATCCCCAGCAAGCCCACAGCCACCAGCCGCCCCATGGCGCGGGAGCCGGGCGCGCTGCCTCGCTCCGGCCTGGCCAGCAGCTCCGTGGGCGGTGCCATCTTCCCGGCTCGATGGTGCCGGCCGCGCTCCGCCCCGTCCTCCGCCTAGGCCGAGTCCCTGCGTCGGGGCCGCGGAGGCTCCGCCCTGGGCCTGGCCCTGGTCTTTGTCCTCACAAACCTATTTCCCCAGATACCTTCGGGACGGCCCGGACACGCCTTACATTAGGCTCATGATGTGAAACTTTGAATTCCTTCACTTCCTTTTTCAAACAACCCACCCGAAACCCTCTAGCAGCCCGCATACCTTTCTCGTTTCCCTAGTCTTCAAACACATTTCTCACTCGCTATTCCAGTGAGAAACTTACATAGAAAGCAGCTTTTGGGGATGGGGGTCGGTGGCCAAGGGAGGGAAAGTAACGGGATGCGTCGTGTAAATATTTCACGTTGGAATCACTACTTTTTATAACAGGACGTAGTTGCGAATAAATAAACATCCTGTGCCTCGTAATACTTTTTTTTTTTTTTTTTAACAGGGTCTCGCTGTGTTGCCTAGGCTGGAGTACATTGGCACAATCATAGCTCACTGCAGTCTGGACCTCCCGGACTCAAGGGACCCTCCAGCCTCAGCCTCCTGAGTAGCTGGGACCGCAGGCACGTACCGTTACACCTAGCTAAGTGTGTGTAAGTTGTGTGTGTGTCTGTGTGTGTGTGTGTGGAGACCGAGTCTTGCTGTGTTGCCCAGGTTGGTCTCAAACTCCTGGACTCAAGCCATCCTCCTGCCTCAGCCTCCCAAAGTGCTAGAATTACAGGAATGAGCCACCATGCCCAGCCTCTATTAATACTTCCAGACTACAGACTTAAGGACTTAGACACGTCTTTTTCATCCAAACTCAAAGGGAAGAAGTGTAGTTTTTTTCTTTTCCGTTTTTACTCTAACAACCGTAACATGAAGGAATAATTTAAAATACAATTTTAAAAGTAAAATGAAATTTACCCATCAAGATTGATACCATTACAATAAATGAGTACATCTGAAATAAGCTTCTAATGGTTTTCGGTATTTAATTGCCACCCTACAATATGTAGGCAGAAATGGTCACACTTGACAATTTTCAACAAATATCAGTTTTATAAAGAACCAGTAAATAAAAGTGGATGCCAATTTCCCACCTGCCTCTCACCAAAAAAAAAAAAAAAAAAAAAAAGCACAAACACCTCTCTCCCTGTGTGTGTGTGTATCTCTGCTTCAGTCCTAAGGATATTGGATTATACTGGATGGTAGAAAGAGAAGTAAAAAGTTGTCCTTTGAAAGCCCATGAGGCATTACCTTTTTTGTGTCGTGGACCCTTCTGGCAGTGGTGAGCCTGTGGATAACTTCTTAGAATAATGTTTATAAATGCTTACAATAAAATGCATAAATTTTCTCTGTGCGGTTCATGAAAAAAAGAAAGAAGAAAAAAAAATTTTAAATAAATGAATAAAATGTATAGATTGCAAAGAAAATCAATTACATTGTAAGGAAAAAAAATAGCTGAGAGCAGTCTGAGCTTTGTGAGGTATGCAAAATTTATCAGGCCCAGAGCGACATGAGTATGGGACTTCAGTCACGCCCCAATACCCATGCCTGGGGACAGTTGTTTAAAGACATTTTGTTCCCGAGTAGCTGTCCCACCCATTATCTTCATATTCCTGGAATTTATGATACAAAGAACAAAGTATAACCAATCCACAGCTTATGTTATTTTAACGCAAGGAATTTAGGAACTGCCTCTTCCTTCCCCTTAAAAATCTATGTGTAACTGCTGCTAATCAGAGTGTATATTTAGGGAAACTTGAATCTATACTCCTGGGTTGCAGTACTCAAACTTGGCCCAAATAAACTCTCTACTTACATTAATTTTGCCTTAGCTTTAAAATTAAAGGTCAACAATTGAAATGTAATTGTTAAAATATCTAAAACATAATTTTTTGCTATAGTAATGTGGTAATGTAATGTGTGCAACATTATTTAACATATTAAATAACAAGATCTAGCAACATTCTTTTAAATAAAGAGGAGTGCAAATGTTCTTTCATGATACTGAAAACAACTATAATGAAATAATGAAAATAACTGTTATTTCCATTAGTAACAGTCACAAGTACTGCAAATGCTTCTGAGGTTTGTCTGCTAGTTTTGTAATTGAAGAAAATGCTAAATTCCATTTGAAATCAAGATTTTTTTTTTCTTATCCAAGGTCATTAATTCCTCTGAACTATCAATGGACCACTGGGTTAAGAACTCTGACATAGGCTAAGGCTATGACTGTTTAGAGAAGGGTGGAATCTCCTTTCTAGGACTATTTTTGGTGTCAATTATTGAGGAAGAGAAGAGCCTCAGATACAAAATCAGAATTTAGGCCTGGCAAGGTAGCTCTTGCCTATAATCTCAGCACTTTGAAAGGCCCAGGTGGGAGGATCACTTGAAGCGGGGAGTTCAAGACCATTGTGGGCAACATAGGGAGAACCCATCTCTACAAAAAAAAAATTAAAATTAACAAAAAAAAAAAATTAAAGAATCAGAATTTAGAAGAAAGACCTAAAGCAGAGGGCCTTGGACTATTGTCTGGGCTTCTCTCTTAATCTCTTAGGCCCCAAGGGAAGTACATACAACTATGCCTCATGGATTCTGGGTCAGGAGCCAGGCTACCGTGTCTTTCCACAAGTTCCGCAAAATGAGGAAACCACATAGATGGCAAATAAGAATATCCAAGTATATGCTATTCTCTGTCTATTTCCCTTTTGCTATTCCCAATTTTTTAAAAAGAAAAAAGTCATGTTCTTAATAGTCATGTTCTTCAACCTGGTTCCAGGTGACATTAAAGGGTTGGAGGTCTACATCTTTTAGGCTAGTCTCAGGATAGCAAAAACAACAACAACAACCAAAACCAGCTTTTGTGCTGACTTTCCTTTCTTCCCTGGCCCATGGTAGGCGTCACTAATTGATTTTGGCAAAGTGTCTCATCACACCCAGACTTGTCCTCACAATTTTTTAAAACAACAACGAAAGGGAAATAAGAATCCCTGAGCTAGGGAACAGATTTCAGTTCAGGATGAAACCTGTTTGCCATCTTGGTGCTGGGTGGTCAGGAGGAACAACACCTTGGGATTTAGCATGGAAGCATTTGTGATAATGAGCCAGGACTTTCAAGTCCACCAAAACCTACCTAAGCTCACCCTCAGAGAATCAAGAGAAATGGAAACCTTATTTTAACTTTATTAACATGACCAGTGAGTTCCCCCAATAATCTGTGTGAGGAATCTTCTACCCCCATATTCTTTCTCTTTCTGAATGTTGCGGTTGAAGCAACTTTTGCAGAAGTAGTATCCATCTTTACCCCCAGCCCCACCACCATGCTAGGGCTGGAATTGTCATTCCTCACATGGGGATGGAGATGAGACGTATTTTCTAATTTGGAAATCAGAAACCATTGTAAGAATGTTATAGTGGTTGTTACATTGTATAGTATAGTTTAGCTGTCTTTTGAGATAACTAGGATGTATAGGCCACACCAAGAACATAACCCCTGGTTTACGTTTGTTTCCTGGGGAAAGTGGTTTCTGACTACCAAATAACCAAGTTACTCAATACAAAACAAACTTGTTCTGGAACTTGCTTGTGTGCTGGCAACTCCTTATACTTGGTATGAAACAGTATTTCTCAAATAATGACTTCTGACTTATTTAGTGGTTATTAAGTGGTTTTTTAAGCAAAATTTCAGAAATAATAATACCTTTTATCAGTGCTTCTCAAACTATGTGCAGTGAAGGACAGGTTTTTCTTGGCCTTTGTAAAATGCAATGAAAATGACTTACTGGAAGAGGAAGTAAAAAAACCAGACATACAAAATACAAGCCCAAATCTTTTATTATTTGGTTCAACAGACATAAAATTACTTTGTCAAATTTCTGTAACAGTTTCTAAATGCTTACTTTCAATTTTTTATACTTAACTAGCCATGGACCAGAAACAAAGAGTTCACAGACTGAAATGGTCCCTGGAGCACACTGCCTTTCATAATTGTACTTTTAACTCTTTAAAGTTCTTTGCAGTGTATTCTTAATTGTAACGCTCACAGTAATTTGTGAAATAGGTGACTCGTGATTATTGTAATTTTATATAATATGTGACAGGGAGTTCGGCCCTCCATATTCCTTTTATCCCTTCTTCTCCTTACTTCTGTTTTAAAAAGGGAACAAAAATGCATTGAAGGGATGCTATCAAAGATGGTTATTATCAGCAAAAGAAAGATTTGCCTTGTAGATGCCTCACTCCGTGGCTTCTCAAAGAGTAAAGGAAACCTCCCCACAGCCAGGCCGTTTTCTGAGAATTCCAACATATTAAAAAGTGAAGAAATGGCATAACAGAAACATAAAGTTTTTTTTTAATATTTATGTTCAACAAATTAACATCTTCAAATAATAGGTTGAATGATATTAACTTGTTTGTAGAGGTCAAATTCATAAACAGAGATAAAATACAATGTAATGTGCTAGTTACAAAATAATTATGCAATTCATAAAAAATATTTATTCCTGGTTTGCTATAGGAAGAGTGGTCCAGTCATGGAACTCAAGTTTAAAATGAATGAGTTTTTTCAGTTGTGTCACTGTATCTTTGTGATGTATGAATAAATGAATTGTGAGATAATGTTGAAAGTCAACATTTAGGGCTCTTTGTAAACTTCACGTCTAGGCCAGTTGGCTTGCCTGTCCCCATGAGACCCAAGCCTATTTATTTGGAGAGCTATAGGCTTTGCTGCCTCTCTTCCAGGAGCCATTGAACCCTGGGGAAGAGGACAGAGAGGAAGAAAACACTGGGAGAAAAGAGGGGAGCAGGAAGAGAAAGATACAAAAACTCCCCAACCTCCATGTGAGGCTGACTTTGGATGGGCTGAACTCTATGGAAAAAGTAAAGACATGTTACATCCTCTTCTAGGAAATGCATGCACGTTTTCCATTGTCCAAAGCAGCATTGTTTGTAGTTCTCCATGAATGAACCGTACGTTCTACTCCTTTTAGAAGCCTTAATGAAACAGGCTTAATGAAGGGGTCTGCTGAAGTAACAACTACAGGTATAATTTATTGAGCACTTCTTATTCCACACACTGCCTCATTTAACAACCATTTGAATTAGGTACTATTATTATCCCCAATTCATAAATGATGAAATTGAGGCCAGAGATTAAGTCTCTGACCCAGGGTTATACACCTGGAAATGGTAGGGTCAGGACCTAGTATAAAAAAATTTATACTGAGACCACATACCCACCTTGATATGTCTTTTGTTAATTGTCAAATAAAATATGATTTCTATTTCTTTGCTATTCATGGTCAGAGCAGAGATGAATGAGCTGGTAGTGAGAGTTGTAGAAAATTGCATCATATAAACTTGCATGAGGGAGAGTTTAAAACTAGGTTGCTTTTTATACTTTTCCTCTGCCTGCTTTCAGTAATTCACTTAATATTGATGATATTCTGTGTATCCAAGCAGTTACTGGGAATTCAAAGATAACGGAGGCAGACCTTCCCTGCCTTGGTGGCGGTCAGAGTCTAGGCAGTTGGACAAACATGCAATGTTGTAACAGGGGCTCAGAACTTTGATCTCTATTCTGTGTATGATGTAAAACCACTAATGACTTTTTAGGAAGGGAGGCACATTTGTGTTTTCAAAGGTCACTATGATGGCTCTGGGGATATTGAGAAGGTGGACTGGAGTCTATTCAAGAGAAGATACAGATGTGTACAAGGCAGAGGTATGGGGATGGTGGAGAGGAGCAGATTTAATGAATTTTGAAGGTTGAATGGATATAAATGGCTAATAAAATGGGGGTGGGCAGAGACTCTTCTGCAGGCTGAGGTGGGAGGATCACTTGAGCCCAGGAGTTCCAGTCCAGTTTCAGCAACATAATGAGACTCTTTTTTTTTTTTTTTAATGCGGGTGTAATCTGTTATGGGATTAGAGTTTTTTTAAAAAGAGAAAAAACATGGAAGGAAATGAGTGAATGGGAGCATATTAACTGGGATGGGGGATGAACAGTTTGGGGTGGCAGGGATAGGACAAAATAGTGAGTACGGCCTGGGACATAGCACATTTGATGCGCTCAAGGCCCAGTAAACATTTGCAGCTAAGTTTCTGCTGCTCAGGAATGAGATCTTGTCTGGAGATGGAGACTTGGGAATCATTAACCGAGAGTGTAGCAATCTGAGTAAATGACTTACAGGAAGGTTTGAGGCTGTAGCCTGAAGTGGTGTAAGTAGAATTCCTAACAGCTTTATCAGTATGCAGGTGGCTAGGAGATGGGGAAAGGCAGAGAAATAGAATGGAGAATTAGAAATTGATTTGAGCTTTAGGGATCACCTTAAACCAAGGAAAGCAGATGCTGACATAAAGGTGTCCTTTTCTCTTTCCCCTGAATCTGTATATGTGACCTTGAAATTCATACTGGCTCCAGGCAGTCATTCTGTGTCTATGGAGAATGAAACCTTATTTGCTATCCCTCCACAGAGCCTGGAAACCAACTGGAAGAAGCGGATGGGGATAGGAGGTTGGAAAGAAATCTCCTATTAGTTTTGCTTGACATAAGACAGCCTGTCTCCTGCTTTCTACACCCCCAGCAGCAGGAGTGACTAGCAAGCCCTGGAGTGTGCTTCTGGCAAGATCGCTCTCTTCTTCAGCGCTTACTGCCTCACTTCCAATATTTGTGGTATCCCTTGATCTAGATTTCTTCAGTCCCCAAAAGAAGTTGCGGTTCCCCCAGCAACCCTCATCTTCCAGACTCTCTTCCCTATGTGGTTGGGTACTTTTCTCCATCTCCCAATTCACCCCCAACTCCCCAAACTCCTTCCTTATGTCCCCTGGAAATCATAGTCAATCATTAGCAAAATCCCTTATATTCACAATATCTCTAAATAGTCTCTTCAATACTTTCATGTTATCTACTGACCCCCAATGCCAGGACATTTTCCCACCTGTTCCAAAAGGTTCTAGCTCCTGGTTCACAGTCATTCTCTTTTATAACACACCATCAAAATTCCTGGTGATTTTAGCATCCATGTGTAACCTTTTCATACCTAACTTTTCAGTTCCATAATCTCCTCTCTTCCAATGACCTTGTCTCTACTCCACTTTGACACCTACTCCTGTGGTTATACTTGAAGACTTTTCCATTACTGGTAATGACAACACCTCCAAAATCACAATTTTAAGATCTCATCTTCCAATCACCACCTCTTGTTTTTTTTAGCTCATTCCCTCTTGTACTCCACGTTTGAAACTTTTTGACCCCGCTTTGATGTCTGACTGCTAGAACTATTGCCTCTCACTACACACATACTCCATTTTATTCTACTTTGTCCAGTGCTGATTCTTTTTTGTTGTTTTTTTTTTTTTGAGGCAGAGTCTCACTCTGTCGCCCAGGCTGGAGTGCAGTGGCACGATCTCGGCTGACTGCAAGCTCTCCCTCCTGGGTTCACGCCATTCTCCTTCCTCAGCCTCCCGAGTAGCTGGGACTACAGGCTTCCACCACCAGGCCTGGCTAATTTTTTGTATTTTTTAGTAGAAATGGGGTTTCACCGTGTTAGCCAGGATGGTCTCAATCTCCTGACCTCGTGATCCACCCGCCTCGGCCTCCCAAAGTGCTGGGTGATTCTTTTTTTTTTTTTTTTTTGAGAAGGAGTTTCGCTCTTGTTGCCCAGGCTGGAGTGCAATGGTGTGATCTTGGCTCACTGCAACCTCCGCTTCTCGGGTTCAAGCAATTCTCCTGTCTCAGTCTTCTAAGTGGTTGAGTTTATAGGCATGCGCCACCACACTCGGCTAATTTTGTATTTTTAGTAGAGACAGGCTTTCTCCGTGCTGGTCAGGCTGGTCTCGAACTCCCAACCTCAGGTGATCCGCCCACCTTGGCCTCCCAAAGTGCTGGGATTACAGGCATGAGCCACCACACCCAGCCTATGCTGATTCTTTATAATATGGGTTTTTAGTAAAATTCTGGAGATAGTACACTGTAAGTATACTGACATGGTTTGGATTTGTGTCCTCACCGAAACCTCGTGCTCAATCCATTTCTCCAGCACCTTTTTCCCCCTCTTTGGTCTCCAAAGGGCAAATCCAAAATCCTTTCCATTTACTTATTGTTCCAGAAAAGCACTGAAAAATGTTTCTCTGTAAATAATCCCAATTGGTCTTTGCTTGATTAATTGTACCTAACATCCTGACTATGTGGAAAAATAAATGATCTTGGTTGCAGCCACACTGAGACACTGGTGGGCCATGGAGAGGAGAGCTGATGCTCACCTGGAGGGTCCTGCAGAGTTCAGCTCTGCTTAGCAGTTGGGTATCTCACCTGGAAAGCCTGAGATTCTTGTTCTTCTGAGGCTTAACACATGGGAGAAAAGGAAGGTTGGATCAGAACTTTCAGCAACAGGCTCTGGTTTCCAGCTCAAAGTGGGGCTGTCTCCTATGCTGGGCAAGTTTTCACACAGAATTTCAGCAAGGAGCTGGGCACAGTGGCTCATGCCTGTAGTCCCAGCACTTTGGGAGGCTAAAACAGGAGGATCACTTGAGCCCAGGAGTTTGAGACCAGCCTGGGCAACATTGCGAGACCCTGTCTCTACCAAAAAAAAAAATTAGACGGGTGTGGTTGTACATGCCTGTAGATCCAGCTACTCAGGACGCTGAGGTGAGAGGATAACTGGAGCCCAGATGGGAGGTCAAGGCTGTAGTGAGCTGTGTTCGTGACACTGCACTCCAGCCTGGCTGACAGAGTAAGAGCCTGTCTCAAAAAAAAAAATAATAATAATAATAATTTCAACAAGGTGGTAATCTTAACAGATAATTACTAAAGCGTTATCAAGGAAGACAATATGCATCACTGATCTATTTCTTAAGAAAAAATAATAAATAAAATTAAAACCTCATGATTTTATAACCTAATAGAATTTTGTAAGCACAGGTTTTCAACAGGTAGCTGTAATTTTAATTAAATATTCCATCTTCCTCAAACCTTTGTATACAAGCTCTAGTAATGCCACTTTATTTTGCCTATTTTTTCTTCAAGACAAAATCAAAAAGGATAATTTTAAAAAGATCATGCCTGTAGTCCCAGCACTTTGGGAGGCCAAGGCAGGTGGATCACATGAGGTCAGGAGTTCGAGACCAGCCTGACCAACATGGCGAAACCCCATCTCTACTAAAAATACAAAATTAGCCAGGCGTGGTGGCACATGTCTGTAATTCCAGCTACTTGGGAGGCTGAGGCAGGAGAATTGCTTGAACTCAGGAGGCAGAGGTTGCAGTGGGCTGAGATTGCGCCATTGTACTCCAGCCTGGGCAACAAGAGTGAGACTCCGTCTCTAAAAAAGAACACTCAGCTTCAATATTAGGATCCTCCCAGTTTTGCCCTAGGATGAAAGCTTTATGCCAAGGATTTCAGCTTTCTCTCTGTTCTGCCTTCTCTTCCAGACCATGCCTCAAAGGCTATTACTTCACACGGAACCTGCCTGCATGTTCTTTTGCTATTAAAAGTAATGGCAAGAACCCCAATTACTTTTGCACCAACATATAGCAAACAAACAAGAGTCTTAGTTCCTCAAGAAGATTTCTACCTTTAGTCCTTTGAAAATAACAAGTGTTTTCTCCTGGTTATATTTGGAAAATATGGTCTCTATTGACAATAGCTTCCCACCCCAGTGACTCTTTTCAAGCATGCTTTTTTGCTTCTCTCATTAATATTCCCTAAACCATTAGAAGATGTTTCACTCCTTGCCACGGTCATATTATCAAATAAAACTAAACTCTCAACGTTAGTGCCAAAATTGCATTCTGAATATAGTTTGTATTTTTTAGTTTTGCCCGTTATGTGAAGCTCCTCAAGCAGAAAGGTGGTTGGAAAATGTAGTGCTAGGAGATTAGCTTTCTGTTGCTAATAAAAAGAGCAAGGTTAACCCCCTTGACACAGACTCATTTTGAGACAAGATAGAGGGTCAGAAGTATGTTGACCCAGATTATTGAACCCAAAATAGGTACACATAACTTGATAAAGGGCTTTCTTTATTTTTCCATACACAGGCAATACATGAATGCTCTTGCATTGCAAAATATTCAAAGGTTACTGGTAAAATTATAGTCTCCCTGGCTTTCTTCTAGAAGAAAACACTATTTTCAGCTTAAGATGTATGCCTTTCTTATCATCATCTTATTTTCTTACTTATTATCATTCTCTTATTTTCATATGTGTAATTAAAAAAAAAGTTCCTGTAGAAACATATGGTACTATTGTGTGTGTGTGTGTGTGTGTGTGTGTGTGTGTATATATTCAGCAATATTGTCAACTAATTTTTTGGTGCCCCAAGCATGACTTTTTTTTGCCATAGAAAATACTCTACCATCCAGGTGCAGTGGCCCACACCTGTAATCCCAACACTTTGGGAGGCCAAGGCAGGCAGATCACCTGAGGTCAGGAGTTTGAGACTAGCTTGGCCAACACTGTGAAACCCTGTCTCTACTAAAAATATAAAAATTAGCCGGATGTGGTGGTGCATGCCTGTAATCCCAGCTACATGCCTCGGGAGGCTGAATCAGGGGAATCGCTTGAACCCAGGAGGCAGATATTGCAGTGAGCCAAGATCATGCCACTGCACTCCAGCCTGGGTGACAGAATGAAACTGTCTCAAAATTAAAAAAAAAAAAAGAAAAGAAAAGAAAATACTTTTCAAAGGTTATCTTTGGTTTTAAAAATTAGCAGTTTATTAAAGGTATAGGCTATGAAACCAAATTTTAGCAATCACTTGTAAGAGGTCTTTGATTAATGTGAAGTCCAATTTATAAATGTAGTTACCTAGACTTCTTTATGTCAAGCTGTATTCACAAAAACTGACATATTCTTTTTCCTTTTTAAGCTCTACATTGTGTGATTTAACAAAATTTTTTGAGTACTTAAATAACTCATATATCAAATAAATTGATTCTTTTCTTTTTTTTAAACAAGGTCTTTCTCTCTGTTGCCCAGGCTGAAGTACAGTGGTGCAATCATGGTTCACTGTAGCCTCGACTTCCTGAGCTCAAAAAATCAAGTAGTCCTCCCACCTCAGTCTCCCGAGTAGGTGGGACTACAGGCATGTGTCACCAGGCCTGGCTAATTTTTTTATATTTGTAGAGACGAGGTCTCACTATATTGCCCAGGCTGGTCTGGAACTCCTGGGATCAAGTCATTCTCTTATCTTAACCTCCCAATGTGCTGAGATTACAGGTATGAGCCTCCAAGCCTGGCCAAAGAGGTGATTCTTAAGTTTTCTTAATGTTCCGCTCCATTAATGTTTATAAAGAAATGATACTAAATTAAACTCACAAGTCTAAATAAATTACTTAATAATACATTTAAAATTAGAATCACAAGACTGTTGTTCAAATAAGCTATTCTTCTACTAGACCAAATCTAAATTATTACAGGTATATAGACAATAAATATGTGTAAAATTCTTAATACTAAATTGTTGATAATACAGATTTATCTTGACATTTATATACTTAATTTCAAATATTCTTGGGGTTGAAAAATGCTTACCTACTAAAGAAAACTTACGTTATCTCACATGATTTTTGAGCTTATTTTGCTATATAATTTTGAGGTTGCTTTCTTTGCTTGATGGTGTTTCCTAGCAAACAGAGGATATAAACTGTTATATGAGTGAACCACTGTGACCATGATGATATGCACCAATCTCAAGAGTGAGCTAGCCACATACCTATCTTACATCCCTGGATTTTAGCCATATCATCACTGCATTGGGTTATCTAGAGAAACAGAAGTAACAGAGTATTTATACATAGAAAGAGAGGTTTATTTTGAAGACCTTGCTCATGCAATTACAGAGGCTTTGTAAGTCCGAAATCTGCAAGGAAGGCTTGCACGCTGGCGACTCAGGGAAGAGGTACTGTCTCAATCTAAAGGCAGTCTACTATCAGCATTCCTTCTCCCTTGGGAAAGGTCAGTCTTTGTTCTATTAAGACCTTCAGTTGATTGGATGAGGCCTACCTACATTATGAAGAGTAATTTGCTTTACGTAAACTCCACGAATTTCAGTGTTAATCTTATCCAAAAAACGCCTTCACAGAAACATCCAGAATAACATTTGACCAACTATCTGAGCATACTGGCCTAACCAAGTTGACATATAAAATTGATCATTACAGTTACTCATAATTTAAATCAGATTAGAATGTGAACTCCTCACCCAGTTGGCAACATCACTTGATTAAATTTTGTGTTTCTATGGCTAAAATAAGAAAATCTGGCCAGGAGCAGTGGCTCACACCTATAATGCCAGTGCATGGGAGGCCAAGGTAGGAGGATCACTAAAGTTCAGAAGTTTGAGAACAGCCTGGGCAACACAGGAAACGCCATCTCTACAAATAATTTAAAAATTAGCTGGGTATGGTGGTGCACACCTGCAGTCCCAGCTACTCAGGAGGCCAAGGTAGGAAGATTGCTTGGACCTTGGGAGGTGGAGGCTGCAGTGAGCCATGATTGTACCACTGCACATTAGCCTGGGTGACAGAGTGAGACCCTGTTTCAAAAAAAAATTTTAAGTAAATGTATTTCCATGTAACCATTAAGACTTTTGAACTTGCATAAAACCTACCTGAACTCTTTTATTATACTGTCTATCAATACTGTCTATCATTAAGACCATATAAAACTGTTACAAATATTTAAGTATTATCTCTGAGCAGGTGGTCACGTATGCATACTATCCTTGTTGGTTCTAATTCTTTATTAGTACTTTATTCTTTGATGCATAATAGTACTTTGTTTGTACTTAATAGTACAAAGTACTTTAATAGTACTTTAAAATACTAATACTAAGTGTTAAAACGTATTTGGTAATTTACTTAATGGTACAAAGTACTTTAATGGTACTTTGTTCTTTGATTAAATAGTATTATTAAAGTACTTTATTAATATAATATATAAATATAATAAAGTATTAATAGTACTTTATTTTTTGATGCATAATAGTTCATTGAATGGGTGTACCATAGTTTGTTTTACTGATAAAATATTATAGATGTATCTTATAGTTTACATTCTTATATGAATAGTCATTCAGATTGTTTCTAATTTTTGCTACCATAAATAATTCTTCAATAAATAATCCTGGATGTGGTTTCTTATACAACAGTACAGGTGTTTCTATAGAATAAATGCTTAGAATTAGATTTGCTGGGGTGCACATATTAATTTTAATCAATGACTATACTGCCAATTGCCCTCCAGAGTAGTTATACTAATTTAATACATAAGCAATATGAAAATACCTCTTCCCCTCATTCTTACCAGTAGATATAATTTAAAAATTTTATATTTTGCCAGACTTGCATTAAAAAAGAGTATTTTATTTTCCTTTTTATTTGCATTCTTCTGAATTCTTGTGAAGCTAAGTAACTTTTTGGATATTCATTTGCCATTTATAATTCTGCAATTGGCTTTCTTATATATTCTTATATATTATATATTCTGCAATTGGCTTTCTTATATAGAAACAGATATATATATATCTGTTTCTGGAATCTTTATCCTTTTGTGTATTGAGCTGTTTTACTTATCGTATCAATAGCTCACTATTTTAATCACTATAGATTTATAATACAACTTCACATTAGGTTGAATGAGTTTATTGTTCTAGCCCAATTTTTTTTTTTTTAAATCTTGGTTATTCTTAAAAATGTACAGTTTCATATAATTTTATAATCACCAGGTAAAGGTATGAAAAATCATTTTGACCTTAGGCATGTTGTACACTGAATTTATAGATTAATTTTTGGAGAATTGACATTTTTTTAAATGGTGGATGTTCCCATCCTTGGACTTGGTATTTATTCATTTATTTAGTTCTTCTTTTTGTCTGTAAAAAATGTTATTTTTTTCACAAGTATTGTGCATATTTATTTATTCCTAGGTAATTTATAGTTTTTTTGTGATATCATGGCATACTAGTTTCCCAGGGCTGACATAAAAAATTACCACAGGCCAGGCATGGTGGCTCACACCTGTAATCCCAACACTTTGGGAGGCCAAGGCTGGAGGATCGCTTGAGCCCAGGAGTTTGAGCCCTAACTGGGCAACAAAGTGAGATCCCTGTCTCTACAAAATAAAACTATTAGCCAGGTATGATTGTGCATGCTTGTAGTCCCAGCTATTCAGGCGGCTGAGACAGGAGAATTGCTTGAGCCCAGGAGTTTGAGGCTGCAGTGAGCCATGATTGTGCTACTACACTCCAGCCTGGGTAATAGAATGAGACCCTGTCTCAAAACAACAACAAAATTACCACAAAATCAGTGGCTTAAAAGAACAGAAATTTATTTTCTCATAGTTCTGATGGCCAAAGGTTAAAAATCAAGGTATAGGTAGGGCTACACTCCCTCCAGTGGCTCTAGAAGTGGATTCTTCCTTGCCCTGTTCAGTTTCTGCTGGCTCCTCATATTCCTTGGTTTGTGGCTGCATAACTCCAATCTCCGCTTTCATCTTCACATGGCCTTCCTCCCTGTGTCCCTAAAATTTTCATGTCTTTTCTCCTGCAGAGATACCAGTCACTGGATTTAGGGCTTATCCTAAATCCCAGATGATTTTATCTCGAGATCCTTGAATAATTACATGTGCAAAGACTCTATTTCCCAATAAAGTCACATTTTGAGGTTCTGAGTAAACATGAATTTCAGGGGACATTACAATTAGGAAATAACTTTTTTTCTGACATATATTCTAACTGGTCACTAATTAATGTAATATAGAAAAGATATTAATTTTTACATGTAAATTATACATCTAGGCTCTGTTGCTCTGGCTGGAGTGCAGTGGCGCAATTATAGCTCACTACAGACTCAACCTCTGGGGCTCAAACTGGGACCATATGTGTGTGCCACCATGCCAAGCTAATTTTTTTTTTTTTTGGAAAGATGGGCTCTCCTTATGTTCCCCAGTCTGGTCTCAAGCTCCTGGGCTCAAGCAATCCTCCCATCTTGGCCTTTCAAAGTCTTGGGATTACAGGTGTGCACCACCATGCCTGGCCTAAGTTTTTGATAGATACCTTTTTTCAAGTTAAAGAAGTTTCCTTATATACTTACTGTGCTAAGACTATTTAAGAAGATAAAATATAGGGCATATAAGCTTAGAAGTTGCCACTGTGTTCTAACAACAAGTATTAATAAAAATCTGAACAAACTGAAAAATCAGCAACTCTTCTTAGATCCATCAGAGAAGTGAGGTCACAGGGCAATCTACCACCCCCCAAATTAGAGAAATAGGCAACTACAAAGAATCACCACAACTTACAGGAGCAGAAACCCAAGAGCAGAAATCTCCAGACCATCCAATGCCAGGGAAGGAACACCTGAATTACAACTGCTGGTGGTGCAGTGAGGTCAAGTCTGACAGTTTACGAACCCCAGGGAAAGCCAGTCATAGGGAGATTCCCATGCTTTTCTGAATTTTACTTCCAGGAGCTCTGACAAGTCTTCATAGTGAGTGTCAGAGAAAAATCCCCTCCTGCTTTTGGTAGAGGGAGGGAAAAAGTATTCTGAAATACTTCATTGCATTCTACTCTTCTTAACAAGGTGTGACCTCAGAAGAAACTGTTTCACAAAAACCTAACCTACTAGGGTTTCATCAGAGCCTAACCTACCTTAGGGAAGAAAAATACCCAGTGACAGCTCTAGTCTAGTCATCCCGTTCTACCTTTAGTGATCTGGCGGTAAGGTATTGGGGGCGGAAAATGGTTTTACAGTCTGAGTCTTCTGGTGAGCCTGTGCACTTAACCAGCGCTTCTCAGTTTTTCCCCCAACTAAGGTACACCACCACACCCGGCTAATTTTTGTATTTTTAGTAGAGACAGGGTTTCACCATGTTGGCCAGACTGGTCTCGAACTTCTGATCTTGTGATCTGCCTGCCTCGGCTTACCAAAGTGCTGGGATTACAGGCGTGAGCCACCGCGTCTGGCACCTCCACACTCTTTAATACTTGGTATTGTCTTTTTTTTACCCCTTTTCCATTCTGGTGGATGTAAAATGGTATTTGATTTTGTTAACTCAAACTATTTAGAATATATTTTATTTATAAATTCATGGAATTTAAAAAAGGAATCAATTTATTTGTTTGAAATTTTATTGCAATAAGGTCCAAAACCATGATTGGTATCATGACTGTTCTCTGAAAATGTTGAGATCTCTTTTGTGGTATAGTATATGACCAAATTTTATAATGAATGGTTATTTGATAAGTATTTGTATCTTTATTAGATATGGAGTTCTTCTGTTTCCTATAAATTAAAGATTTTAATAAAAATTCAAGCATATGTTTATATTTATATTGTTTTGAATATTGTTGCTCCATCTTCATTTTTCCTAAATGGACTTTTCTAATAGTCTCTTTCAACACTTGTATTAAATAAATTTGGATCTCCTGGATGGGTCATTTAAGTCTTCCTTTTCTTCCTTTACATCTTTTTCTGTGTGTGTCCTGTATTCTGAGAAAAAAATTTTTTTTTTTTGTACAGCTCACTAATTTGCTCTTTTTTTGGTGTCCCATCTGCTATTCTACTCATCTATTGAATGATCCATTTCAAAAATGAAACCTTTACGTGATTGCTTGTTGATCTTTTTTTTTTTTTTTTTTTTTTTTTCTGAGATGGAGTCCCACTCTGTTGCCCAGGCTGGAGTGCAATGGCTCCATCCTGGCTCACTGCAACCTCTACCTCCCGGGTTCAAGTGATTCTCCTGCCTCAGCCTCCCGAGTAGCTGGGATTACAGGCAACTGCCACCACACCCAGCTAATTTTGTGATAGAGACGGGGTTTCACCATGTTAGCCAGGTGGGTCTTGAGCTCCCAACCTCAGGTAATCCACCCACCTCGGCCTCCCAAAGTGCTGGGATTACAGGCATAAGCTACCGTGCCTGGCCTGCTGGTTGATTCTTTTAAAAGAATTGCTGGTGAAAATACTCTCTTGTATCTCTTGGAACATACTGTATTAATTAAACTTAGAATAAAATCAAAAGTCTAATGGCCTAGAATGGCCTACATTAGAATAAAATAAAAAATCTAATGGCCTAGAATGGCCTATATGACAGGGCCCCCTGTGCATTCTCTGACCTTTTCCCCTCATTCCCATTCTGCTCCAAACATTTTGGCCTCCCTGCTGTTGTCAACATTTCAAAGCTCTAAGCACATACACTTGTTCCTAGCCCTGCTGCTGTGGTCTCCCCCTGGATGATAGGAGCTTGCTCTGGCACATTATTCAGGTCTCTGTTTAACAGTCATTTCCTCAGCAGAGAGGGATTCCCTGGCTACCTTACCCAAAGTGGCACTTCATATCCTCATATGTATTCTCTTTCCCCCACCGCTTACTTACTGTGCTTTATTTTTGTCCAAAATACTTTTTGCCTACAGATATTTTGTTTTGCTTATTTTTTCATTGCCTGTCTCAATCAGTAAACTGCAATGTCTGTGATGGTAGAGACCTTGCCTGTTTTGTTTACTGCAGTGTCCCTCAAAATTAAGAGTGTCCGGTACACATTAGAGAGGCTCAAGAAATATGTGTTGAATGAAGTGATGATGGTGTTTCTAAAGTCCAGTGCTGCCTACTCTATTAACTTTGTTTGTGTGTTCATTCTTCCATATTTGGTGCCTCTGTCTCATGATGCTGGCTTACTTCAATTATTCATGTGTGCATTTTTGTATTTGGGAGGCCCTGCCAGGCCATCCTAAGAAAGCTCAATTTAATCACTCCAGTCTGCTTATGGAAGAAACTCTTAAAGTCATGCTGGAGTGGACCAGCAGACTGCCGCTAGCTGCTTTTGGGGAGAGGCAGAATAGGCTGCTGGTTGGGGTGTACCTATAGCTAGTCTCTGGGCTAGATACTCCTCATTGTCCTGACAGTGACCATTATTCTAAAGGCCCTAGTCCTTCCTTTCCAATTGAGGCCCCTACATTTGTTACTGCTGCCTAAAGGCAGGTACCACTTTTGCTTGATGCTTTATGCAGAAGGAAGCATGGGGCGGTTGACCTACTTGTCTGTTCCTACTCTAATAACCACACTATCTTTCTATTCACTGTCCTAAGCCTCCAAGTTGCCATCCTACTTCAAATATCTTTACTTATGTGCATCGAGCAGTACCATTTTCTTAAAAATAACATTTTTATTTTGATATAGCTTAAGATTTGCAGGAAGCAACAAAATAGTACAGAGAATTTCTACGTACTCTCCAGAAAACTCATGTTGGTACAATACTATTAATTCAGGTACAGACTTTTTTTTTGTTTTTTGGAGACAGATTTCACTCTATTGCCCAGGTTGGAGTGCAGTAGCACGATCTCAGCTCACTGCAACCTCCGCCTCCCGGGTTCAAGCGATTCTTGTGCCTCAACCTCTCGAATAGCTGGGATTACAGGCGTGCACCACCATACCTGGTTAATTTTTGTATTTTTAGTAGAGACGGGGTTTCGCCATGTTGGCCAGGCTTGTCTCAAACCCCTGGCCTCAAGCAATCTGCCTGCCTTGGCTTCCCGAAGTGCTGGGATTACAGGCATGAGCCACCGCGCCCGGCCCAGGTACAAACTTTATTCAGGTTCCACCAGGGTTTCTCCTTTCCCTTCTTCCCTTCTCTTCCCTTCTTCCCTTCTTCCCTTTAACCCTTTTCTCCCATCTTCCCTTATTCTTCCCTTCTCTTCCTTCCCCTCTCCTCCCCTCCCCTCCCTTCCCCTCCCTTCCCCTCCACTATCCTCCCCTCTCCTCCCCTATCCTCCCTTCCTCTCTCTTTTCTCTTTCCTTTTTTTTTTTTTCCCAGATGAGGTTTTCACTATATTGCCCAGGCTGGACTTGAATTCCTGGGCTTGATGGATCCTCCCACCTCAGTCTTCTGAGTAGCTGAGACTGCAGGCATGTGCCACTGCACCTGGCTCTCCATCAATTTTTATATACATTCTCTTAAAAAAAACTCCTGCTTTATTGAGATGTGATTCATATACATATGCCATACAATTCATATACCACTGAATTAATCCATTTAAAGTGTATGATTCAATAATTTTTAGTATATCCACAAAGTTGTGCAATCACCAATACAATTTAATTTTAGAACATTTTCATCAACTCCAAAAGAAGACCAGTACCCAATGGTGGTTAGTCTTGATTCCACACCATCCAGCCCTAGGCAATTGCTAATTTACCTTCTGTCTCCATAGATTTGCCTAATGTTTTCATCCATGTTGTAGCACATATCAGTACTTCATTTTTTTCTTTTTCTTTTCATACACAACATGGATGAACAATTTTTTAAATTGTCAAATAACATTTAATTGTATTGATATACCACACTTGGGTATCCATTCATCAGTTGATGGATATTTGGGTTGTTTCTACTTTTTGGGTATTATGTATAATGCTGGATATACTTTTATGGGGAGGCAGTGCTATAATATTTTATCATATAGATTCAAATAACTATTACCACAACTATGATACAGAACTGTTCCATCAACACAAATAAATTTCTTCATGTTACTCCTTAATAGTCACACATTTCCCCCTACTGTAACCACTGGAAACCACTGATCTGTTCGCCATACCCTTAGTTTGTCACTTTGAGAATGTTATGCAAATGGAATCTCAAGGGAGTCTTTAACTCCCTTGAGACTGACTTTCTCTGCTCAGAATAATACTCTTGAGATCCATCCAAGTTGTTGCATATATTTATATTTTGTTTCTATTCATTGCTGAGAAGTATTCCATAGTACGAATATACCACAGTTTATTTATCCATTGAAGGACATTTGGATTGTTTCCAGTTTGCAACTATTCCAAATAAAGCTGTTATAAACATTCTTTGTAAGTTTTTGTGTAAACATTTGTTTTCATTTCTCTAGGATAAATGCCCAGGAGTGCACTTGCTGGGTCTTGTGATTGTTGCATGTTTAGTCTTTTTAAGAAACTGCAAAACTATTTCTCATAGCCTATAATTTTACATTCTTACCAGCAATTTATGAAGATCCAGTTTCTCTGCATCCTCTCCAGTGTTTGGAACTGTCAGTAATTTTTATTTCAGCTATTCTAATAGGCATGTAGTAGTATCTCATCATGGTTTTATTTGATTTCTGTAATGACTAATTGTGTTAGTTTTGTATTTCTGCAATAACAAATTACCACAACTTTAGCAGTTTAAAGGAGCACAGATTTATTATTTTACAGTTCTGTAGGTCAGAAGTCTGATACAAGTCTCACTGTGATGATATCACAGCATAGGCAAGGCTGTGTTTTTTTCTGGAGTATCTAGGGGAAAATCTTTCCTTGCCTTTTCTAGCTTCTAGAGGCTCCCAGCATTCCTTGCTTTGTGGCTCCCCTTCGTCCATCTTCAAAGCCAGCAATATCACATCTCTGTGACCCTTCTTCTGTTTTCACATATGTCTGACTGCAGCCAGGAAAAGTTGTCACCTTTTAAGGACTCATATGATTAGACTGGGATCATCTTAACCTCAATCACATCTCTAAAGTCTCTTTTGCTAAGTAAGACAACGTATTCACAGGCTCCAGGAACTAAGGGGTGGAAATCTTTTGGAGACCATTATTCTGCCCAGTATAATAATGCTGTTAAATAGCTTTTGATGTATTTATTTGCCACCCACATATCTCCTTTGGTAAAGTGCCTGTCCACATCCTTCTAATTACACAATTACTAATTGGCTTGTTTGAGTCACTGTTGAGTTTAGAATTTTCTTTACGTATTCTGGATTCGAGGGCTTTATTGGATATATAATTTGCAAATATTTTCTCCCAGTGTTTGGCTTGTTTTTTCATCCTCTTTGTAGTGTATTTTGCAGACAAACATTTTAAATTTTGACCTACTATAATTCATTATTTCTTTTATGACTCATGCTTTTGATGTCATGTCTAACTGGTCACCTAACCCTAGATCACCAAAAGTTTCACCTGTTTTCTTCTAAAAGTTGTATCATTTTACATTTCACATTTAAATCTATGATCTATTTGTCTAGAATACGACTAATACAGCTAATATTTTCATAGTTTTGCAGTCAGAGCTTTCTGAGCAAAAATTAGTGGCAACTTGGGTTAAAGGATGAGCTTTTTATTGCTATAAATCTCCCCTAAGCAGTGCTTTAGCTATATCCCACAGATTTACATGCAGTGGTTAAGAAATAATACAGAGAGATATAGCCCTTATATACTTTGCCCAGATTCCCCCCAGTGATAATATTCTCCAAAACATAGTATAATTTTACAACCATGATATTGACATTAATAAAACCCATTGATATTATGTAGATTTTTCTGGTTTTACTTGTACTCATTGCATGTGTACTTGTGTGTGTGTATTAAATATTAAACAATTTTGTCACCTTTGTAGGTTCCTGTATCCACCATCACAGTCAAGATACCGAACAGTTCCAATACCACAGAGAACCCTTCTGTTGCCCTTTTATAACCAACCCACCATCCTCTCATCTCCCCTTTCCCTAACCTCTTTCTCTTTGACATGTAAATTATTTAGACATAGGGTGCTTGATTTTCAAGTGTTTGGAGACTTTTCTGATATCTTTCTATTGTGGTATTCTAGTTTGATTCCATTATGATCAGAGAATATACTTTTTATGATCTCAATTATTTTGAATTTGTTAAGGTTTATTTTATAATCTAAGACCTGGAATCTTGTGAATATCTCATGCATACTTAAAAAGAATGTGTATTCAGCTGTTGTTGGGTGAAGTGTTCTTATGAATATCAATTAGATTTTATTAATTGATATTGTTCAATTCTTTTAAGTCCTTGCTGACATTTTGTCTAGTGTTTCTACCAATTTTTAGCAAAGGGTTGTTGAAGTCCTCAATTATAATTGTAGATTTGTTTATTTATCCTTTCATTCCTGTGAGTTTTTGCTTCATGTATTTTGAAGCCCAGTGTGCGTTGGTACATATACATTTAAGATTGTTATATTCTGTTCATGAGTTGACCCTTTTATCGTTATGTAATGCCTTGTTTTGTCCCTGGTAATTTTCTTTGTTCTGAAGTCCACTTCATCTAGTATTAACATAGCCTCTTCAACTTTCTTTTGATTAGTTGTTTGCATGGTATAATTTTTCTATTCCTTTCACCTCTAACATACCTCTATTGCTATGCTTAAAGTGAGTTTTGTAGACAGCATATAGTTGGTCATTTTTTAAAAATCCTTTTATCAATTGTTGTCTTTTAATTGGTGTTTTTGGACCATTTAGATTTAAGGTAATGATTAATATTTTATAATTTATGGATGCCATTTTTTAACTTATTTTGTTTGCTTCTTCTTTTTTTTATTTCTCTGTTTCTCCTTTCCAGTCTTCTTGTGGACTACTTGAGCACTACTTTAGTTTTCTGATTTATCTACAATATAACTCTTGAGTGTGTTGCTTCACAGTTTTTTTTTAAGCCGTTGTTCTAGGGGTTACAATTAATAGTCTACTACTATCAAGATTTTCCTACTTCCTGTGGAATATGGATGCATCACCACAATTTAGGTCATTTTACTCTCTCCCTTTATAGTTGTCTGAAAATATTCTACATTCATTGAGAACCAAAGCAGACATTATCATAAGTTTTGCTTTTAACTATTAAACACATTTTTTAAATCACAAGGAAAAAATTATTTATTAAACTTATATTTATTCTTTACATCTTTCTTCATATCTGATGTTCTTAGTTGCAACAGAACTAAGTTCTTAGTTCTGTTATCATTTTCTTTCTGTACAAACTATTTCTTCTAGCTATTCTTTTATTCTGCCGGTGATAAATACCCTTAGTTGTTGTTTTGTTGTTTTAAGTCTTCAAATGCATTGATTCTTCTTATTCTTGAAGGATATTTTCACTGGATATAGAATTCTGGGTTGACGATTCTTTTCTTTCATCACTTAAAAATGTTGTACCACTTCCTTTGGCCCTGTGATTTCTGATGGGTAATCTGCTATTATTTGAATCATTGTTGCCCTGTAGGTATTGTCATTTTCTTCTAACTGCTTTCAAGATTTTTTCTTTTGTCTTAAGTTTTCACAGTTTTGACAGTGATGTATTTGGGTGTTGATCTCTTTGGGTTTACTGTGTTTGGGGTTTTCTCAGCTTCTGGAATATGTAAGTTTGTGACTTTCATCACATTTAGGAAGTTTTTAGCCATTATTTCTTTAGGTATTTTTCAGTCTTGCATTCTTTTTTCCCTTCTTCTAGAACTTTGATGACAGAAATGTTAGATGAATTGTTATTATCTCATTGGTGTATAGGGTTCAATTCATTTTCTTCCTGTTTTTTAAATTGAACACTTCCTGTTTATTTGTCTTAAAGTTCACTGATTCTTTTTTTTTTCCACTGGGCAGCTCCAAAACCAGGATATATTCAGAGGGGCTCCCAGGTTCACTGATTCTTTCCTGGCCATCTCTAGTCTGCTATTGTGCCCACCTAGTAAATGTTTTTAAATTTAGGTTATTGTATTTTTCAGTTATAAAATTTACATTTTATTCTTCTTTATATCTTTTTTTTTCTTTTTTTGTGACATGGTCTCGCATATGTCATCCAGGCTGGAGTGCAGTGGTGCAATCATAGCTCACTGTAGCCTCTGACTCCCAGGCTCAAGCAGTCCTCCCACCTCAGCCTCCCAGGTATCTGAAACCACAGACACATGCCACCATATCTGGCTAATTTTTAAAAAATTTTATAGAGATGAGGTCTCACTATGTTGCCAAGGCTCATCTTAAACTCCAGAACTCAAATGATCCTCCTGCCTTGGCTTCACAAAGTGTTAGGATTATAGGCATGAGCCACCATGCCCTACCACATCTTCTATTTCTTTGATGATATTTTTTAATTTTTCTTTTGTTCCAAAAGTTTTCATAATTGCTTGTTAAAACACTTTTTGACAGCTTCTTGAAAACCACATTCAGACAATTACAATATCTGTGTCATCTTGGCATTAGCGTCTATTGATCATCTTTTCTCATTTGAATTTAGATTTTCTTAGTTCTTGGTATGACCAGTAATTTGGAATGTATCCTGGACATTTTGAATGTTGTTTTAAGACTCTGGTTCCTATTAAATATTCTACTTTAGCAAACTGTCGAGGTTCAAAATGCATATCCTGACACTCTTTTTGTGAGTTGCAGTGCAAATATTAGCCTAATTTAGTAAGACTTTACCATGCTACACTTCTGATCTCCTCCATTTCTGTGTTACCCAGATGACAGCACTGCATCCCACAGTCTTTTAGCACTAGCTGGATAGTTGGAGGGGTGCCACTCTTTACTACCTGGAAGACTTTAGAAGACAAGATTTTACCTACTGATTCAGCTGGTGATGGTTACCTCCACATTACTGAAGTGGGGATTATAAGTTAGAGCTCTACACATAGACTCTGTGGGCAAGCAGCATCTTCCTTTCACCTCCAGGAAAAGGCTTGAAGTCATAGTTATTCCCAAAGATTATGCAGGGAGGAGTCATGCCCATTCCTTCAAAGGACATGTAGAAGTCAGAGTTCTGCCCACAGACCCTGGAGGAAGGAGCACCTTCTTGTTACTGTGAAGAGCAGGGCAGAATACGATGCTCTGCCCACTGGTTCTGCCACTGCAGTGCCATTGTGGTGGGGGAGACATATGGTGTTTGCTTGGTATTCAACCAAAGAACAGGCAGATATGATTAAAGGGTTTTTGTCTTTGGGCTGCCTCTTTCCTCATCCTCTGGCTAGAGAAAGCTGACTTTTCTTGGGGGCTATTTTCTGTCGGTGACTACTGGTGTTTCTAGATTGTGGCTGATATGGTTTAGCTGTGTCCCACCCAAATCTCATTTTGAATTGTAGTTCTCATAATCCCCACATGTTGTGGGAGGGACCCAGTGGCAGGTAATTGAATCATGGGGGCGATTACCCTTATGTTGTTCTCGTGATGGTGAGTTCTCGTGAGATCTGATGGTTTTATAAGGGGCTTTTCCCTCTTTTGCTTGGTACTCTTCTCTCCTGATACCTTGTGAAGAAGGATGTATTTGTCCACCATGATTGTAAGTTTCCTGAGGCCTCCCCCAGCCATGTGGAATTGTAGGTCAATTGAACCTCTTTCCTTTATAAATTACCCAGCCTTGGGTATTTCTTCACAGTAGCATGAGAATGGACTAGTACAGTAAATTGGTACCACAGAGAGTGGGATGCTGCTGTAAAGATACCTCAAAATGTGAAAGCAACTTTGGAACTGGGTAACAGGAAGAGGTTGGAACAGTTTGGAGGGCTCAGAAGAAGACAGGAAAATATGGGAAAGTTTGGAACTTCCTAGCAACTTGGAGGGCTCAGAAGACAGGAAAATATGGGAAAGTTTGGAACTTCTTAGACACTTAGTGAATGGCTTTGACCAAAATGCTGATAGTGATATGGACAATGAAGTCCAGGCTGAGGTGGCCTCAGGTGGAGATGAGGAACTTGGGAACTGAAATAAAGGTGATTCTTGCTATGCAAAGAGACTGGCAGCATTTTGCCCTTGCCCTAGAGATCTGTGGAGCTTTGAAATTGACAGAGATGATTTAGGGTATCTGGTGGAAGAAATTTCTAAGTGGCAAAGCATTCAAGAGGAAGCAGATCATAAAAGTTTGGAAAATTTGCAGCTTTACAATACAGTAGAAAAGAAAAACCCATTTTCTGGGGAGAAATTCAAGCCAGCTGCAGAAAGTTGCACAAGTAATGAGGAGCCAAATGTTAATCACCAAGACAATGGGGAAAATGTCTCCAGGGTATGTCAGAGACCTTCAAAGTAGCCCCTCTCATCACAGGCCCAGAGGCCTAGGAGGGAAAAATGGTTTCCTGGGCTGTGTCCAGGGCCCCCGTGCTCTGTGCAGCCTAGAGACATGGTGCCCTGCATCCCAGCTGCTGAAGCTCCAGCCATGGCTAATAGGGGCCAATGTGCAGCTCAGGCCATTGCTTCAGAGGGTGCAAGCCCCAAGCCTTGGCAGCTTACGTGTGGAGGATGTCCAGGCAGAGGTGTGCTGCAGGGGCAAAGTCCTCATGGAGAACATCTGCTAGGGCAGTGCAAAAGGGAAATGTGGGGGGTGGAGACCCCTCACAGAGTCCCCACTGGGGCACTGCCTAGTGGATCTGTGAGAAGAAGGCCACTATCCTCCAGACTCCACAATGATAGATCTGCTGACAGCTTGCACTGTGTGCCTGGAAAAGCCACAGACACTCAATGCCAGCCCATGAAAACAGCCAGGATGGAAGTTGTACCCTGCAAAGCCACAGAGGTGAAGCTGCCTAAGGCTGTGGGGGCCCACCTCTTGCATCAGCATGCCCTGGATGTAAACATGGAGTCAAAGGAGATCATTTTGGAACGTTAAGATTTAACGACTGCCCTATTGGATTTCGGACTTGCATGGGACCTGTAGCCCCTTTGTTTTGGCCAATTTCTCCCATTTGGAATGAGTGTATTTACCCAATGCCTATACCCCCATTGTATCTAGGAAGTAACTAACTTGCTTTTGATTTAACAGGCTCATAGGCAGAAGAGACTTGCCTTGTTTCAGATGAGACTTTGGATTGCAGACTTTTGAGGTAATGCTGGAATGATTTAAGACTTTGGGGACTGTTGGAAGGGCATGATTGTGTTTTGAAATGTGAGTACATGAGATTTGGGAGGGACCAGGGTGGAATGATATGGTTTGGTTGTGTCCCCACTCAAATTTCATCTTGAATTGTAGTTCTCATAAACCCCACGTGTCATGGAAGGAAGCTGGTGGGAGGTAATTGAATCATGGGGGTGATCCTCATGCTGTTCTTGTAATAGTGAGTGAGTTCTCACAAGATTTGATGTTAAAACCATCAACTAAGTGGGGCTTAAAAGGGGCTTTTCCCCTTTTTGCTTGGCACTTCTCTCTCCTGCTGCCATGTGAAGAGGGACATGTTTCCTTCTCCTTCTGCCATGATTATAAGTTTCCTGAGGCCTCCCGTGCCATGTGGAACTGTTAGTCAATTGACCCTCTTTCCTTTATAAATTACCCAGTCTTGGGTATTTCTTCATAGCAGCATGAGAATGGACTAATATAGTGGCCTTCTCTAGCACCCAGGCCAAGGTATTTATGAGGCAACAAAATACTCAGGAAGCTCACTTCCAGGTTGTTTCTCAAGTTCTGAGGTTTCCAGCCATTTTATCTTGTTTGTTCCTCCTTTCAAAGTCTTCTCTGTGATATAAATATATATATTTTTGGTCCAGGATTCTTTCCTGTGATTAGTGGGAGGAATAAAATGGAATGTGTTTACTCCATCTTATCTGGAACCAGAAATCTCCAGAGCAGCCCCCTTTGTAATAGCTTTTTCCTATTTATGCTCTTTTATTTAAAAAAGTTCTTTTTTTTTCTAAGACATCTTGTTATAGCACCTATTTATATTTTAGCAGGATTTCCCCCCCTCATATTTACTTCCTTTAAAAAAAAAATTACCTCTGTGACAGTAAATTTTCAAATGGCTTATCTTTCTGTTATTTCTAGTTATTTAGTATTAAAACAAGAGACTTCTACATGGGCCTAGTCTGTCATCTAGAACGAGAAGATAATGAATGTTTTTCCTGTGACCTTATTTACACGTAAAAGGCTTACATAACATGGAACTCATTTAACAAATCACGCTTACTGATAATTATGAAATTATATGCAAAAAATACTAATTTTAGCAAAAATGTATGCATCAAGTAGTATTAGCATTTGAATAACTAAAACTGGGATTATTCTGGTTTTGCATATATAAAGACATACCACAAACACAAATTGAGCTATTGGATTGAGCTGCTTGTGAGAAATTAGACAGCTATTGATTTGGGAACTATTATAATGGTTGACTCCATAGCAATAGTTGAGATTATACAAAAGGTGAATGAGAAAGAGAAAGGAAAAAAATTTAGGTGAGAATCCTAAGGGAAACCCAGAGAAAAGAGAAATAAGGGAAGTCTCAGGGAGACTTTCTTTTTTTCTTTTTCTTAAGAGACAAGTTCTTGTCTTTTTTTTTTTTTTTTTTTTTTTTAAGAGACAAGGTCTTGCTCTGTCACCTTGGGTGGAGTACAGTGGCATGATCATAGCTCACTGGAACCTTGAACTCCTGGGCTCAAGCAATCCTCTTGCCTCAGTAGGGCCCACAAGTGCACACCACCACACCTGGCCTATTTTTTAAATTTTTGTAGAGTGGAGGTCTTGCTATGTTGCCCAGGCTAGTTGCTACCTCCTGGCCTCAAGTGACCCTCCTGCCTCTGCTTCCCAAAGTACTGGGATTACAGGCATGAGCCTCTGTGCCCAGCCAGGAGAACTTCTAAGATTTGTCACAGATTTAAGAGGAACACTGGAGGATCTGTGATTGCTATGGTTTGAATCTGTGTTCCCACCCAAATGTCATGTCCAGTTGTAATCCCCAATGTTGGAGGTTGGGCCTGGTTGGAGGTGATTGGTTCATGGGAGCAGTTTCTAATGGTTTAGCACCATCCCCTTAGTGCTGCTCTTGCGGTAGAGTTCTTACAAAATCTGGTTGTTTAAAAGTGTGTAGCAGCCCCTTTCTCTCTCCCTTCCTCCTGCTCTGGCCATGTGAAGATGTGCTCACTTCCCCTTCCCCCTCCACCATGATTGTAAGTTTCCTGAGGCCTCTCCAGCCATGCTTCCTGCGCAGCCTGTGGAACTGTGAGCCACTTAAACCTCTTTTCTTTATAAATTACCTAGTCTCAGGTATTTCTTTATAGCAGTGTGGGAACAGACTAATACTGTGACTTCCATATTACTTTTGATATAGAAAGAATTGAATCATTTTGAAAAGCACTCCTGGATTTATACAGGTTGTCTTCAATCTAATCATCTGTTAGAATAATTACTATAAGTTATCATTTTGCCACTGAAATGAACATGGACAGCTTGAGAAAGAAAAATAAATTATGACAGCTGTGGAGATGTAAGGATTTTAACTAAAGTGGAAAAGATGCCCTAGTGCATTAAGTAGTTGAGACAAATTATTTTATCTGATGATTGTGAGTTTTAGACAGATAGATAAAAATTTTGTAGCTTAGTAAAAAAAAAAAATCATTCTGACAGGTTTCCAACAGTCATTTTCCAATTTTCTAATAAATTTCTAAGATGAATTGGTTTATTTACTTTCTTCACCCTTGACTATACAGTTGAGCATATGAACTTAGAAATTGTCTGTTAAATCTTTTTGAGTAAGTTGAAAGCTAACACATAGCCTGCACCATTAGGTGAAGTTTAATTACTTTAAAAATTCTGAGTTACATTATTTGAACATAAATACATTTATATAATTTTTTAGTAATTACAATAACATTGGGAATGACTAGTAAAACATTACTAGAGATTCTGTTAGACCTAGATTGATAAATAAATTAAAGTGACAATTAGCAGCTTGTGAGTAAATGATGCTTGAAAACAACAAATGCAAATAGTGCTTGAAAATAATGCTTAAACATCGCCCATATTTTGTAATTATTAATTAGCAAACTACTCTTTCATAGATTGGATTAAGGCAGCTTCTCTGCGGTTAATGAAATTATCATAAATTTAAAATTAGTCTAGCCTGAATTATATTCTGTTCTAAAGTGAAAAGCTTGATTTATCTTTTACATTCTTAACACTTTTAATTTTATCCTCCTGAAACCTTCACTCAAGTCTGACGATTTTGTTACAGTTAACCTTTTTCCCCATGAGACACATCAATAGTAAGGTTGAATGAAATCAAGATTCTTTTAAATGCATTCAGAACTCATTTAAATGACTGGTGCAGAAGTTCTGTGCACCAGCTTGGAAGACATTTTTATGTTACCAATCTTGACTTACAAATATCTCAATTTCTACAAACTAGGGAAAGGTAAGACATTTTATGTTTATTGACAACAATAAGTTATTTTTCTCAATATTAAATTCTAAATGAAATCCTATAAAGAACATCTAACAAAATCTTTAGTCTACTTTATGGCTGGATGTCTTTAGGAATACTGCTACCTTCTGAATTTTCTGTTATAGGGGAAAATTAAATGACACCTCAGAAGAATCAGGAAAAGATTAATACTAAAGGATGAAATAGTTGAAAATAACACACTTGGCCCTTTTCTATTTCTTTCCAAATATGACTTTATACCTAGCATTTCAACATACAGAATTATCCTTATTATAGCCATATTTTATTCTAGGCTTACCCAGAGTGCAGCAAGGCACAACTGGGGCTGGTGTGGATGCTACTTATAAGAAATATAAATGGCATCCTCTGGAGCCTCTGGCTCCCAGGCTAGATACTGAGATGTCAAAGATCGATATGATATGCTCAGTTTAGTTAGGGAAAATGTATATAAGTAAAACTAATTTCTATGGAATCTAAAAAATGACAGAGAAATATGTTCAAAATACTATGGTAGTGCAAAAGAAGAGTTTAGAAGTCCAGAGGAATCATCCCAGACTCATGGTCTTGTTCACTTAAAAAAAAAAAATTTCTGAGACAGGGTCTTGCTCTGCTGCCCAGGCTGGAGTGCGGTGGCATGGTCATAGCTCACTGCAGCCTTGAACTCCTGGCTTCAAGCAATCCTCCCTCCTTAGCCTCCTGAGTGGCTGGGACTACAGGCACATGCCACTATGCCTGGCTAATTTTTAAAAATTTTTTTAGAGATGGAGTCTCACTATGTTGACGAGGCTGGTCTTGAAATCCTGTTCTCAAGTGATCCTCCCACCTTGCTTGTTTGCTTTTAAAGACAACCAAGGCCAGGTGCAGTGGCACTTACCTGTAGTCCTAGCTACTCGGGAGATTGGAGTAAGAGGATTGCTTGAGCCCAGGAGTTCAAGGCTGCAGTGCACTACAATTGCAACTATGAGTAACCACTGTACTCCAGCCTAGGCAACATAATGATACCCTGTTTCTGAAACAAACAAACAAACAAACAAAAAGACAACTGAATGCAAGTCTTCCCAATTAGAATAGTGCAATTTAAGTATGATAATAAGCTGCCATTTACTGGACTCTTATCATGTCCTAGGCCCTATATCAAGTATTACCACCATGCTTTAATCAACTGAGCTATCCAGCCACCTTGGTTATGCCAAGTATTTAATGTCCCCTGCTTTTTATATAATTCATACAACAATCTCATGTCATCAGTATTCTTATCATCCCTATTCTACTTATAAAGATTTTGGAGTTTCAAGAGATAAAATAGCCAGTCAAAGCCACACAGTTCTAAGAGGTGAGGTAATGAGATGGGGAGTTGGGTTTAAAAGGTGAGGGCGTACAGCAGGGACCCTTTAACATGATAGAATGTTTATAGTGCGTGATCACTGTGTAGGGAATGGGTACATTATGACCAAGTTTAGATTTATGGACTATTCAAATATATTTTTAGGAAGCTAAGAAAAATGAAAGAAACCAAATCCAGTCCTGAGGAGTCCTAAGTCTAGTTTGGGAAAATGGATATTTGTAAACATAATTTTTATGGAATCCAAAAACAACAGTGAAATATGTTCAAAATACTATGGTTGTGCAAAGGAAGACATTTTTATCTTACCACCCTTAACTTATAAAGAAGTCAATTTATACAAACTAAAAAAAGAAGACATTTTATGTTTATTGCCAGTGTATTAGTCCATTTTCATACTGCTATGAAGAAATACCCAAGACTGGGAAATTTATAAAGAAAAAGAGGTTTAATGGACTAACAATTCCACATGGCTGGGGAGGCCTCACAATCATGGCAGAAGACAAAGGAAGAACAAAGGCAAGTCTTACATGGAGGCAGGCAAGAGAGCATGGTGCAGGGGAACTCTCTTTATAAAACTATCAGATATTGTGAGACTTATTCACTATCATGAGAACAGCATGGAAAAACCTGCACCCATGATTCAATTACCTCCCACCGGGTCCCTCCCATGACACGTGGGGATTATGGGAGCTACAATTCAAGATGAGATTTGGGTGGGGACACAGCCAAACCATATCAGCCAACAATAAGTTATTTTTCTAGAACCACAAAATAATGATTTTTTTCTGTGAACTTATATATACGTAAACAGCTTACCAAATGTAAAAATTAAGTTACTTAAAACTCATTTAACAAATCATGCTTATTGAGAATATAAAATCATATGCAAAGAAATACTAATTTCAACAAAAATATATGCATCCATTAATACAGCATTTATTAATGTTAGAGGCAGTGGTTTTTGTGGCAATAGTATAGCCTACTGCTACCCTCTTCATATCTGGATACAAATCCTGACTCCACCAACACAGCTTGTGTGACCCTGAGAAAGTTACTTAATTTCCGAACCCTTATTCCTTTTCACGAAAATAGATGAATTACTTTTTGTGAAAGCTCAGTAGTGGATGGGTGGGGTGTGGGGAAAAAAAGAAAACTCAGTAGTAAGCACTTGATAAATGTTAAATTTCTTACTATTGGCGTCAGGGAGTGGGATAGGGTATGCTAGAGGACAGAGATCACAAGTCCTCAGAAACATTGTAAAATTGTGTGTGTGTGTGTGTGTGTGTGTATGTATGTGTTTATAGACCTATACAGAAGATGTGAACTTACACCTACACACATGTGCAAAAACATATTACTTAATACATTTTAAATCAAATTTAACTTGATCTCAAGCCACCGTTGTGTCTTGGATGGGAGAAAATCTAAGCTCAGTCATTGCTGATACTCTCCTAGCCCCACCTGTGGGCAGTGCAAAGGTTCCTGAACTTTCCAGCGGGGCTTGCATAAATGGATTGTAGTCTATGCTCTGCACAACCTTAGGGTCACCATTCACATCTCAAGAGGCTTGACCACATTCTTGGAGCAGGAGAGAGGAAAACTCCAGCATGAAACAACTCACCAATTAACATTTCAATAAATTATGCAGCCACATACATTTTTTTTTGAGGGAAGAAGAGAGCCCATACCTTTCATTAGATTCTCAAAGCAAAGAGGGAGCCTGATTTGATCCAGCAAAAGAGATGGGTGTCAAACCTCTGTGCTCCACAAAGCAGGAAAACATCACATTTGCATTGATTATAGAGCCTTTTCATAGTGCTGACACATCTATGAGCTTTGAGTGGCCTCATTATTTTTTTATTAAATTGGGTTGGGGGGGGCCCCATTCAACCTAAATGCAGATGGAGTCATTGTGAATGAACTGCAATATACACAATAGGTAATAAATTCTGGGAAATGAAATCTGTCATCAGTCCACTCTTTTACACAACAAAAACCAAGATGGGGTATAACACTGAGACTTGAGGCAAAAAAGTCTCCAGGATAAAGAGGCAGAAATTGCATTCATTGACTTGTAAAGCATGTGGGGGGGCCTCTTCTATGAACAGAACAGGAAAGGGCCAGTACTAATTCAGTAAAAAGTATGTAAAACCACTGAACAGAAGACCATGCATGTAATGGAGGGAGCTTGTGGAACGCACAATGGTTTCACAAATAAATGTGGACACCTGAATGGTAACATCATTATCAGCCACATCTTCAAATACAGGGAGAGAGAAAGCACTTTCAGAAGAGTAGTAGGAAAAACACTCAAGTTAATGAAGAAACCCTGCACTAAGTCATATCTGTCATTTTAAGTGCTCATTACAATGATTATTTTTAACCGTCATTTAATTTTGTACAAAATTCAATTGATCAGACATAGAGCCATGATTAATCACTTGTGTATGACTAGACGTAAGTGGGTACTAATGAGCAGTAAACGCATGTCCAAGTCCTGTTTTTAGCATTGTTCTTACAATAAGTAGCATCCACTTTCTGCATCTCATTGCCTTTGGATGAATCTGGAAATCCCTGTTTTGTGACAGTTCAATTTAGTCTTTTGTTGCTTTGATTCCAGGGTTCTTTAAAAATTTTAAAAAATCAGTGCTCTTAGAGTTTTTGAACATGTTGTACAATCATACTTTCCATTTCTTTATCAGTACAAAAAATAATTTATCTGTAAGAGAGTTGAAGTTTCTTCACCAGTGTATGGGCAGCATGGGGCAATACAAAGTTCATTCCATTTGTTTGGAGCTGGGCAGATTTAAATTATATAAGTTGTGTCTTCATTTGTTAAATGGGAAAGCAGTGTCTACCTTACAGTGCTACAGGTAATATCAGTTAAATGTCTGTCACAGTGTTAGAATACACTCAGTACATAACAGTTGTTCTGTTGCTTCAAAGTAAAATTATAAAACAACTGACATGCAGACAATTTTATCTTGTGAGTTCTGGAATGATAGAATTTTTGAGGTCAAAAGGCCCTCAGATGAGGAAACTGAAGGCCTGAGGAGGCAAAAAGACTTGCTAAGATCAAACATTTAGTTTTCCTCATTCAATAACAATTTGTTGAATGAAAGAATAACATTACATCATCACCAGAAACCAATTTCCTATGTGTCAGGTAATGATCTGTCTCCTACAAGTGTGGCCTGTGACCTACATGTGACAATGTAAAATGTTAAATGTGAACAGGAATGAGAAAATTTTCCATTTTTTATCGGAAAATATGTATTGATTGCACTTCATGCTTAACTAATTTCACTTGTTTATTCAATTAAAAATGGCATTGATTTATTGTTTCAATCAATTGCCTACTTATACTTTTATAATTATTATATATTACATATTAAAGAAAAGGAGTAAGTCATATGGCTTATTATGAGAACAACAGTAATGCATTTAATTGTTGGTTCATTGCTCGTTCATAAAAAATAAAGTTATTGGAAATAAATTCGTTAGTATATAATGCAGCTCATTTGGCATACTTTATACGCTCAGAATTGAGTAAGTTCTATTTTCCGTTATATCAGTCTTATCAGATTGATGTAAGAAAAATACTTAAATGGCGGATTTTCATATAAAAGAAGAAGGCATTATGATGTATGAATTTTTAAATAGTGGTTTCCGAGAAATTGCACTGTGGCAGTCCTGCCTTCCTGGGGTTATTCAACAGCACTTCAGCTTATATAATTACCACACATGCCTCCTGTACAGAGCCCACGAGGCTCCCAGGTCGGTCACCATGGCAACAGATTCTGAATGGAGTAGCCCCATCCTGATACTGTGCATAGAGCCTCTTCCTGGAAAAAGTTTTATTTTTTAAATTTAAACACATTCTCCCAAATTACAGATATACAGTTTCAGAGTACTTGTTCCAGTTTTCTTATAAGTGTAATGTGAACACTAAATGTCCAGGCACACACAATTTCTTGAATAACAAAGGAAATATAAAGCAAACATTTAAATACAGATTGCCTTTTCATTCTGAGCACCATTTTGAAAAGAAGAGGAAAATAACCTTTCAGAATAAAAAACACCTGAAGGAACAGCTATGGGAGGAAATCAGCTCTCTTTGATCATTTGCTGCAATAGGAACTTTTATGCTTTTTTTAAAAAAAACTCTTAATCCATAGATCTAAGCAAATAAAATGCAATTTTTCCATTAAAAATGTTTTAAAAGAATGAACAAACACTTGTAGACAGGGCCACTTTGATAAATCTTGTGCAATAAAAGTATATTTTTATCAATAAAGTGGAAAGTACACATATTTGCTCAAGATTCTCTGTCCGCCCCCACACCTCCAGGAGGTCGGTAAGAACTCTCTGAAGCTGTGGTGTCAGATCCTTTCTCATTTCCTGTTTGCTGTTTGGACAGGCCTGGCAGCTGTGGCGACTGAATCTAAGAAGAAAGGCTGATAATGCTCTGGCTGGTTTCATAATAGGACTTTTCAAGGCACTGTCCCATCCATTAACTCATTTGAAATGAAAGGTAGGGTTTTCTTTTTTCCCCCCATTAGGAAAGATACTTACATGTTTTATTCAAAATTCTTTTAAGCCACCACCAAAGAAGAGAAAGAAATTAACATAATAACTCTCCGGGTGGTTCCCTGTTTACAAAGTAAGTTTAACTTTTACTTTGTTTTCCTTCAGAGCCCTAAATTCAACTCCTACTTTATTCCATATTTCCATTTTCAGTCATCCTTGATGCCTGAAATGATTTAGTTGATGCCATATTGATTTCGTTCTTGTTTGCTTCCTCAAAATGTTTCTCATTTTTCTGTCCCCTTGGCTCATTTCTAAGTGTGTTTTCTAATGTCCATATCCTGCACAATTGCCAGCAGCACCATGACCTAGGGAGGACCCTCATTATGAACTGCATTCTACAGGAAAAAAGACGCACGTCCCCTTCAAATGATGTGGCTTGCCCCATGGAAAACAGAGTTGGTGTCTGAGTCAGGTTTGCTTCCCCAGAGCTCCAGGGCCATTGCTATTGTCCTCTTTCCTGCACGCTTCCTCATTTGCAAAACAATGTGAATTCTGTTCTTGCCCTTATAATTAAAGGAAAAATGAGGATGATCAAGAGTGGTTGCTTCAGGGACCTTCCACACTGCTAAGGCCACCTCTATTTTTCCAGACTCCAGGTATATTTTAAAATGAAGACATGTCAAAATAGGTTTCTGTTGTAGTTAAAATGTTTACACCTATTAGCAATTATATTTGTATGAGAGTTGAAGGCTCTTCCAACACTGTCAGTGTACTTCTGTGACAGTATGTATCTAAACTCATTTGGAAATAAACAATAATTGTCTAATTTTGGCCCTTAATTGAGGTCCTAGCTTAATGCCCTCTTTTCTCATAAAGGAATGCCCTTACATGAACATTAGGACTTTAGAGGACAGCAGTGGTGGCAACAGTGGAGTTGACTGCAGCTGGGGCAAAGGTAGCAGGTTAATACCAGCTAACACCTCCAGAGCATTTGCCATGTGCCAGGGACAATGCTAAGTATTTTATGTGTGCTAACACTATGCTTTCTTAGGCAGGTACTATTATTATCTGCTTTTTTTAACAGATGAAGAAACCGAGCCACACAGAGGTTAAATAACTTGCCCAAGGGTGCACAACTACTAGTAGTATTGAGTCTATACGCTTAAGTATTGTGCTATTCCATTTCTTACTGAATACAAAGCAAAAAAACATAAGGATCAGAGGAGGAGTGTGAGTGTCCTCATACTCACAGCAAAAGGAGGTCAGTGGGTGTGTGTGGTGGTGGGAGGGGACTTACAATATCAATAATGACACTAGGTGGGGGCTCAGTAGCTCATGCCATTTTGATTATCTACCAATGTGTGGGTGTCCCCAGGCTGAAGGAATTGGGTTAACAAGGTTTATATCTGCACTTACATTCTTTCCCCAAAAATGTGTCCAAAATTGAAAGTGCCATTTTTCAATGACACATAGAATCTGGGCAGTAGCACAGGACCCTGTGTTCAGAATGACCAGATGCTTAGACGAATGATCTGTTGCCGCCATCTTGAAAATCTCAATACTATTTGAACAAATCTCAATAATATTTGAACATTTTGCACTGGGCCCTGCAAATTATGTACCTGGTCCTGTGTGGAATTCTGGGCAATTTGTACACACTAGTAACTCCAATCTGCCGGGGGAAACAAGGTTCTATCTCCCTGTGATTCCTGTGGAACTGCAGTGCTATAAATCTGCAGTTGCCTGTTAGTGGATTTGCATTTTACTGCAATGTAATACTTTTCCTCACAGGGAAAAGCAGTCTACTCTCACTAATAGGGGTTTTAATGATGCTCTGCCAAGGTCCACGTGCATAGCCTCAAGCAAAAAGGCTCAGGACAGGCTCTGAATTCCACAGCAGGGTTAACTACAAGGGAGCTTCTTTGCAGTATGATAAAACGCGGTTAACCTCAGCTGGATTTGCAGCTAGCCCCAAGGAGCACTCCTCAGGAGCAACACAGGTCTATGTATAACATTTCAGCTCTGGTCCACCCAGAAACGTGCACTTCCCATCCCACGGTGTTTGCATAATTTAGGCATGCTATAGTTAAGATTTGCCAAAACTTGTAGAGAAAAATCAAACTGTCTCAGTACAAGGAAACCAAACTGCTAAATCCTCTATTTCCTCTCTCCACGCTCCAGCAGTTTGGCAGTAGAATAAATGATTGCTCACCAGTGGCAAGTTTCCATGGAGTCGGTAGCTCCTAATATCTTTTCTGAAGGGACGGGCAGTGAGCTGATTTTCTCCACCAGGGAAGTAATGATCCTAATGAGCAGAAACTAGGAGAGAAAAAAAGTCAAATTCTCAAAGAAGACAAAAAGGGAATTTCTCACCTCTATCCGTCAGAGGAGTCAGAGCTTTCCCATTCAAGGAGACCTGTCGGATTGCACTGAATTAATCATGATAGCTAACATCTTCTAGCATTTACTATGCCCTAGATACCCTTGTAAGGGCTTTACACATGTCAACTTAGTTAATCCTCACAAGAACCCAATGAGGTATTATTATTATCTCCATTTTAGACGTGAAGGACCCAAGGCACAGAGAGGGTAAGCAGTTAAGTCAGGAGAGCAGCTGCCTGGCTGTGAGAGCCACAGGTTTATCCAGGACAATAACAAGCAGTGATGAGTTCCCAGCGGAGCCTGGCTGGGTGTGCAGCTGCTAGACCTCGTACTGTTTGTCCTTACAATAAATCCCCATTAATGAGGGAAGCACGATTGGTCTCCCTTGCTCTTGCAACCTGAAAGAGCCTATAGAATACAGATGCCATTGTGAATGCTTTTGTAATTTGGAGATTCCTTTTTTTTTTTTTTTAATCAACGGAATAATCAGCCTCTTCATGTATCCATAGGGAATTCAGGAGAGGATTGAAGAAGCGGTTCCTGTTTTTGAGGCATTTGCAATCATTGCTGGAGAGACAGAACCAACAGATGGGGAACAATGGTCAGGGACTCCAGGCCTGATTTAAGCCAATGCCGCCCTGTGGTCTTTACCCACGAATGGTGTGGAAAATGAGAGCAGGGAAGAGGATTTACTCACTGGCTGTGGAGTTAGGTCAGAAGGGGGATGGAAAGAAGGAACCGGATGGCTTTGGGGACATTTCTTAATCTTTAGGCTTCACCTTCCTTAACTGAAAATAAAGCCATAAGTTACCTCCAGAACTCTTTCAGCCTTAACATTCAATGAATCTCGATCTTTTCTGTAAAGCTAGATTTTTATGTGTGGTATTTGCTAAAAGTTGGGGCGCACCCTTACTTGATCTGGCCCAGACTATAGATCACATGAAGATCACATTAAATCAGGTCGAAAGACTTTTCTGACTTCAAATTAGCGAATATGCATATGTGCTGAACTTTAGTCTTTTCCTTTTCTTGAACATTCAGTTTAATAATTGTCTCTGCCATTTTACACATTTATTTTTCTTGGCTATTTATATTTTCCTTTTGGGGAGGTCAAATATAAAAATAGGATATACATGGACTGTAGCAGTTGATAATAACTTGTGTGCTTTGATTTTTTAAAGAACCAAAATTTACCAAAAGGGATCTTGCTCACTTATCAATTTGTTTTTTTTATATCTCTGTTTTTGTACATATCTTTTAAGTTATTCCAGACCCTGACAACTGGACACCTGGTTATGATTGCAGAATGTGCAGTTTAAAATCCTATTTTAAAACTTAGTTTTTGTTTTTCTTTTTGAGACAGGGTCTCATTCTGTCATCCAGGCTGGAGTGCAGTGGTGCAATCACGGCTCACTGCAGCCTTAACCTCCTGGGCTCAAGCAATCCTTCTACCTCAGCCTCGTGAGTAGCTGAAACTACGGGCACATGCCACCATGCCAGGCTAATTTAAAAAAAAATTTTTTTTAGAGATGGGTGTCACCATGTTGTCTAGGCTGGTCATGAACTCTTGGGGCTCAAGCAGTCCTGCCTCAGCTTTCCAAAGTGCTGGAATTATGGCATGAGCCACCATGCCTCATCTAAAAATTAGTTTTTATATCATTATGCATACCATGTTTTCAACAGTAAAATGGTTTTACCCCAAATAGGCATGTAGTTAAGGTAAAAATTATCTGATGTTACTGATCATTGAGATTTAGAAACAGTAATTAAGGAGGAGGGATTCAGGAGATACTTTTGCAATATGATCCTTAGGATGAGGTGGCTTTCTATACCCTGGCAAATGTTCTGTAGAGCCTATAGACAAGCTGTTTTTTATGTATAGTGCCTAGACCAGCAACACTGGCATTTAACAAGAACTCAGATCTCACTCATACTCTGTCAGGTGTGACCCAGCAGTCTGTGTTGTAACAAGCCCACCAGAGGACTCTGAAGTACCGAAAAATTTGAGAAGTGCTGTCATAATCCAGGCTGTCAATAGAATAGGTAGGGTCATATACTATACACTCACTACACTATAGCCAATGACCATCTTTCCTTACATAGTCCCTCCCCACGCCCACCTGGATGTAGAATTTAGAAGTAAAATCACAACCTAGAATATTGGCAGTGGTCAGTGACTCCCCATTGCAGGTTGAATTTAATTAATTAATTATTTTTTGAGATGGAGACTGGCTTTGTCACCCAGGCTGGAGTGCAGTGGCTCAATCTTGGCTCACTGCAACCTCCACTTCCCAGGTTCAAGCAATTCTCCTGCCTCAGCCTCCCGAGTAGCTGGGACTACAGGTGCGTGCCACCACACCTGGCTAAGTTTTGTATTTTTAGTAGAGATGGGGTTTCACCATGTTGGCCAGGCTGGTCTCAAACTCCTGACCTCAGGTGATCCACCCACCTCAGCTTCCCAAAGTGCTGAGATTACAGGCATGAGCCACCGTGCCCGGCCTTGAATTTATTTAATAGCTAAATTGCTCTACTTGCATTCAAGGTCTTCTGTCTTTATAAAACCAAATCATGTATTCCAGTGTCATCTTCTATTTTTCCTGCTCATATTCTTTATCTTTTAGTAAAATTAGATGGCCATTCTCTCCCCCATCTCTAATCCTTGCCATGAGCTGGCAAGGTTGTGAAGAATCTTTACTTAGTTAAGATTTATGGGGTGCCTTCCTAAATGGCATCACAGTGTAAACAAAGAAATCAAATCACCTGAACTTTTCGGTCTCTATATATCAAGATCCCAAGATCCTATTTCAAATACCATTTCCTCTGTGAAATCTTTCTTGATTCCTCAAACCGAATGGTGTGATCTTTCCTTTTTATAATGCCAGCTCCCTGTGTTTCGTATTTCTGGCACAGTAGATTCTGGTCTGCCTTATTGTATAACCAGTATGGTCTAATTTCATTCGTCTATAAGTTCTTGAGATTGGGGCTGAATCCTACACATCTGTCGGTCCCTACTACACCTATCACAGTGTCAGACACCTAATAATAACTCAGTCAATAGTGTTCAAATTGTGGTATGCAGCGGCAAGGCTTCCAGCCCAGCCCAGAGTCATCGGATAGCTTTCAGCCAAGGCTGTTAGCTGTGTGAGGTAGGTGCGTATTGCATGCTTGTCCCAAAATATTCTCTTGCAGGTGACTGACATTCTTTTTTATATTTAAAAAAAAATTTATAGAAAGCTCACAGCCCATGTTTAAAATACAAAATTCACCTATGAGAAATCAAGAAATGGAAGGAAGATCTAGAGGACAAGCCTAGCTCTTTTACCCCCTGGAGCAATCAAGGGGCAGCTACAGACACTAGAAAAGACCAGGGCTGGGAAACGGGAACAATATCTTTGATTTCACAGTCTTGCCTGGGGCCTTGACTGACAGTAGCTGCTGCTTTAACCTCCATCTGTGGCTTCACGCCTTTTTAGAAAGGACTCAGGAAATCACACTCTGGTCTTATAGGGAATATTTTCAGCCTAGGAGAAAAATTGTGAGCATGAGAAGCAAGCTTGTCTTGCTTTCCCACACCCAAAGACAGAGACTCATAAGACAACGGTCTGTAAAGAATCTGGAGACACATGGTATGAAACATTTTTAGCTTATTATTTTGAATGTTCTTCTTAATACCATTGTAGCAAAAACAAACAATAAAGGGACAACCCACTCCTCCTCCAAACAATGTTTAATTTATGTATTTGTTAGATACATATTGAAATTTATTTTATGAAATCATAAACCAATAGCAAATTCTCAGTAGAGAAATTCATTGTAGGAAAATATGATCAGGAAAGATATGGTTTACGTGGATTAAAACAAAATTTTTAAAATCCATATTTGTGGTTTAACCTGGATCACGTTTTATCCGCATTGGCTTGGATTTTTTTTTTTTCCCCAGGATACTGCAGCTGTTCTTCCGGGTTCATTTATCGAGGAACACTGCCATCATGTGGCCTGACGTGTTAACACAGTCCCTAAAAGACAACTAGCAGCACGGTTTTAATTTTGATTCTCTCTCTAGAAAAACGTTTGTGGCTTTAAAATGTGCTTCGTTATTTGAAGCTGTGTTTGTTAATACCTTTCTGAAATGGCATCCTTAAAATATTTGCCAAAGGGTCAACTCTACGTCACCTTTTGAATTTCTCAAGTATATAGTTATCACATCAAAAAATATATAAAATAATAATTGAACATTGCTCATTTTATAAATTTGTCAAGTTTTCACAAATTTATCTACTGTAAAAAGAGTGGAATGCTTTGCTTATATACACTAGTGTGGCTGCTTATTTTTTCTTTACACTATCAGTTTAGGGAGAGGAGATGCAAAACTATAGAAAACTACAGAAAGGCAGCGTTGTGTAGTTCAAAAACTAAAGTATGAAGCTTGACATTAGGTTGGAGACTTCGCTTTGCGACTAATTAATTATGCAATTTTGTGCAAACATGTAAGTGAGATGGCCTCAGTACTTTTTTTCTTAAATGAGAAGATTTGATACCCTTAACAAGAACCTTTTTTTTTTTTTTTGCTATAATTCTGTGATTCTACAAGCAAAATTAAGTTCTTTTAAAAAGCAAGAGTGTTGTTTCTCTTTAGGTATACTATTTTTCTATGGTTTTCTGAAAATATGTGCCCCCTTTCTCTCCACTCCTCTTTCCCATTCCTAACTGCAGCTTTGTCTGCAAATTTGTTGTGCAATTTTTTTTTTCCTGCAATATCCCATAGTTTTGGTGTTGTGTTGAGGATTGCTCCTTCATGAATTAGATACTTCCATAGTATAAAATAAAACTGATGAATCTTTGCAATTGGTAAACAACTTATTGGCTTCTGACAACTGTGGGTGTAAAAAGAACGTTACAGAGGACAGTCCAATTTCTTTACCCCTTAAAAGGGAAGGATAATTTTTTTTTCTTACTGCACCTCTGCATCATAAATTTGTCAAAAGTAAAAAGAGGATGCAAATGCTGCCTGGAGTACAATTGTGAGGTAAATGTTCTGAAGAGACAAAATTATGGTAAATTATTCCCTCGAGTTGATGTTGTGAAGTGTGTAACTGGGTGAGGGATGGAAATACAAGCTGGTGTTGATGTTTAAACTGTGCTGGACGGCGTGTAAATGCAGGTCAGTTGCTAGGAGACCTGGAACACAGAGCTAATGCCCCCTCTGTGGGGCAGGGATGTTTGATCTGAAAAAACCTTGTCTTTCACAGTCAAAGATGACGTGAAATGAATAGTCTGTCAAAATTCAGGTGGGCCAGTGCTTGGTTACTGCTTATGTCAATCCAGCCATTCTGACATCCACCACCTGTAAAGAGAGTCGCTGAAACGGAACAATCTAGCATCGTGCCAGCGACCAAGATTCTCCGGAAACACTCAGGGTAATTAGCTACGAATTCTTTAAATACTCTTACATGAAAGGCAGCTGGTTTGTTCGCTGATATGGGATCCAAGAAGTGGGCAGTAGCGGCTAAATAATTACTTCAGCATTCCAAAGAGAGGGATGCCAGGCCACAAATAGAGTTCCAAGCGAAGATGTGCTTGCGTAGGACTTTGGACCCTCCCGTTTACAAAGCAATCATTTCTGCCATTTGTGAGGATTGTTGAACAGATTTTATGTTAAACACACATGCTCCCAGTATGTAATTACAATTGAGAATGAATACGCCGAACTTTAGCGCTGAAGCATCTTAGCAGTTCTTCCAGCGCCCCCAACTGCTTGAAGACAGAACCTGAATCAGTCTGTGGACAAGGGCAGCCCATAACATGGCTGCCACAGGGAAGACTTTCAAAAAATCTCAGCAAGGTCTTCTGCCCTTGCAAAATGGTATTAATCTTTGCCAATGTCCAGGACACTGTGTTCCATAAGGGAGAAAAAAGCCCTAAAGGCTGAGGAGTGTGTCTAGTAGGTCTCATTTTACTTACAGGAAAAGAAGTCACTGAGAGGTATTTTGAATTATTTGAAACACACAGCTTATGACCACCAGAGCTGGGAATACGATCCAGGTGTCTCAGTCTGACGGTCTTTCACCATAACACCACTTAGTATTTCTCAGGAAAAATTGTGATGTTCTATTAGTCCACTGATATGAACAACAGTAATAATATGTAACTCTCCTATAATGCTTCACAATATGCAAAGTACGTTTATATACGTTGTTTCATGTGATTTTTACAACCCTGGTAATTATTCTTATGAAATAGTATGCTTAGTCCACAGAATTGATCTGTATTGTTATAAAAGTATAGTTTTAATTGTACTAGCTTGCTGGCTCTTTATTATAATATTGTGGCCATGCCCCCAAATCAAGATGGCCTCTGGGAATAGATCATTGAAATCCTAATGTGGTTTGAAAATTTTTTGTGTGTTTGCCCCACTTTTTTGTGTTAAATATTGAATATCCACTGATAAAATATGCACTTTATTGCTTGTCTACAGAAGAAACAAAACTATCATCAATTATAAGCCATTTTGGAGAACCTACTATGTATCAGGCCTAGAACACAGCAGATATGAGGATGCTGTTGTGGGTTTAGCTTTGAGAGAATTGGACTTGGGTTCAAGAAGTAGAAGAAAGGAAATAAATGCATATTCATCAGTTATACTCCTAAGCTTCATTGAGCTTCAAAAATATCTGAAAAGAGGTGCAGGCATCTGAATAGGATGGCTTCCTGGTGTCCCTTCCTGTTTCTTGTCTCAGGGTCTTAGAATCTGCTGCTCCCATGGCCTAGAAATCTCTTTCCCTAAATATCAGCATAGCTTATTCCCGCAATTCAAGTTTTTGTTCAAGGCAAGTGAATACTTCTCTGACCATTTATTTGAATTTGCAGTGCTTTCCAGGGCCATAACACCTTCCCAGGACCAACCTGGAAGTGGAGGAGACTTTTCTTACTTGTTGGTCCACAGGAGCACACCTTGTTCTGATCTATACAAGGGTGGCTTATGGTGTGGCTGCAATCCTAGACCTTACCCAGTTTACTTTTCTTGGTAGCACATATTACCATGTGACAAACTATATATCTTACTGTCTGTTTTTTTGTCTGTTCCCTTGTAGCCCCTCCACTGGTATAAAAGCTCCATAAAGGTAAAGATTTTAACATGCTTTCTTTGTGTATCTGCAGTACTTATAAAAAGTACAGGTGGTAGCTAAGATGGACCCCATTGATTCTCACTTCCTGGTTTTCACACCTTTAACAAAATCCTCTCTCACTCTGAATCAGTGCTAGTCAGTGTGACCATAGGATATGATAGAAACAGTGGTATATGACTTCCTAGGTTAGGTCACAAAAGATGTTGCAGCTTCCAACTGGCTCTCTTGGATCTTTCATTCTGGGAGAAATCAGTTACCATGTTGTGAGGATACTCAAGCAGCCAATGGAGAGAACTACATGGACACAAACCACATAACCAGCATCAACTTGTTAGCTAAGTGACTGAGCCACTTTTAAAGGGGATTGTCTAACCCCCGACCTTTGTGTCTTTAGTTTGAGGCCACAGACATCATAGAGCAGAGACAAGCCTTTCCCACTGTGTCCTGATCCACAGAAACCATGAGAGATAATAAATGATGACTGTTGCTTTAAGCCAATACATTTTGAGGTTATTTGCTATGCAGCAAAAGATAACTAATACAGTGTCTGGCTCATAGTAAGTTCCCAAAAAATATTTATTGAATGAAGGGCTAAATGTGAGCTGATTTCTTACTAGATTACTCAGTGATCAAATAGAATATCTAATTAACCTGAAAAAAACCATATAAAAATCCATTTGAGCAATAGGAACATTGGTTGGGAGTGTCAAGATCTAGGCTTGAGTGTTATATCTGCTGCTTATTTGCTATCTGACCTTGTATAATTCATTTATAGTCTTTGATTCTTAGTTTACCTGATCTGTAAACTAGAAATAATGATAACAATTAAAATTTTACCACAAATAATACCTCCTGCCTGGAAGAGCCTTGTTGACATTGAGAACTTCTGGATCAGACCTCTGCTGAAACCCAAACACTACAACTGGAATTTTCCATTATAGGAACCAATAAATCTTTACTGGTTCAGTTCCAGTTGCTGGTGTTACTTACAAACAAAGGCATCTTTATGCTAAGCATTAACACTAACCTATAAAAGAATAGCAAAAAAAGGAAAAAAAAACAACAAGATGACGTGTAATAAGTAAGATGCTACATATTACAGAAGTATAACAGATGAGAAGAAAGGGATGTCAGACCACTTAATCATCCATTTCTGTAATAGCAAGGACATCTAATTCAGCTGCTGAGAAAGTCAGGAGGCCCAAGGGGTTCTGTTGCCACAGAAATTCTAGTTTCCAATTCTAGCTGGCTTCAAATTTCTTCCCTATGGTTGCATTTGATAAGTGATTGTGGCTTAGTAGCATCAAATTCATGTTTAAATGCCATGATAAACCAAGGAGCCATTTGTGTTCCAGAGAAGATATTCCAAGTAGACAGATTATGTTGTACACAGACAAGCATCTGGGACTTTGTGCCTGCTGTCTCAGCCATGGGTCCCCAGAGAGTACACCAGGGTCTTACGGGCCACTTGCCACATCATTGCCTTGTCAGAAAGGTCTTCATACTATTTCAAGAGCAAAGGACACTGTTCTGGACATGTAATGAAACAGTAATAAAAAGCTCATCTTATAGAATGGAGAGTTTTCATTTTTAAGAGCTGAGGAGACAGGAATTTCTGACAGGCCTGACTAGACAGTGTGAAACATGACCACTGTGTAATTTGACCTCCTGAGGTGAGTTGAAGCGGTGGCTTGGATAGTGGAGGCAGGTCTCACACCTGCTATTAGCATTGGTGGCATTGCTTCCTATGTTAGAAGGACTTTGATGGGCAATTTAATTAAGCTGCTATTTGCTTTGTAGGTGCAAATAATCTGTAAGTTTTATCCTTTGCTGCTCAGGTAAAATAATCAATTGATTTTTAGCAGAATTATATAGATAACATTTTCAACTTGATACATTTTTTAAATGAAAATTTGCTTTGTTTGTTTTCTTGGATTATTCCACGAAGTTTAGATACAGTATTTATTTATATAGCTATGGGACAAGACTGAAATAGCTTCTGTGGGAAAAATTATAGCCATCTCTTTAGGCTAAAATTTTAAATTTGCATCCAGATATTAAAGCAATGCTTTAAAATTTCATTCTGAAGTCATGTTCCCTGTGGCCTTTGACCTTGAGGGCCAAGTTTTGAAGTTTGCCAACCTGAGGAAAGGACTGAAGGACAATCTGTCCATTGATCAGCTTTAAGTCTCAATGCAGACACTTACAAAGACAGCCGTTGTGAGACTCAAGGATTAGGAAATGAGGATATTTCTAAATCACCTTATCTCCTTATTTAGCATTTCAAGGACCACGCCTGAAGGACTCACGTCATAGGGTTTCTTTCACAAGGCAAAGATGATAACCATTCCACCTCTGGAGGGAGATCAATAGGCTTGCTGACGTAGGGAGAAAAAGAAAAGCTAGAGAGGCAGTAAATTGTCCAACTGGACCCTTGTAGCTAGGAAGGCTAGAAGTCTTGATGGATTATGAGAGGATATATAGCCTGATCCAGGGGTCAGATGGCATGTACTCAGCCCTCCTCACACACTTCTTCCGGGGTTGAACTTTGATGGGATGGGGGGTGGTTTAGAAACAACCAGATATGCCTGAGGAAGTTCGAGGACACTGAGGTTAGCGGCTCAGCATTAGAGAGAATGTAGACCCCTTGGGAACTCCATTCCTTAGCTTAGGTTCATGTCTATTCTGGCCCTAAGAAGATGGCACAATAGAAGATGACTTGTTCTTCATCGTCCTTGTCAGCCGACGGGCTGCAGCGTTTGAGAACATCAAAACTGGAGTCAAATGATCAGAATCACACACTCTAGTAGCCAGATAGGACCAAGTAAGTGACGACCCATTCTGCCACGGAGATATCAGGGAGGGTCCAGAGGACAATGAGTCCATCTGAGGACCCCCTTTTCTTTCAGTCACCATGAGGTCTCGTAAGCTGCACTCTTACTGCTGACTGCTATTCACTTGATACACGTGGTCTGGCCATACTGGTAATTTATGACAAAAGTCTCTTCTAGTTAATACCAGTTGTTAAATATTAGCATTGTGAATATTGTTCCTCCATGTATCCCATATTCCCTGAAGCTCTCTTAGAGGGAAAGCCTGAACTCTCAAACACAGAGAATTTTATTCAAAGAGACTGATCATTTACCTAAAGAGACTGCTAAATATTTGGATCAGATTAACACATCAGGTTGGACAAAATTAAATTGTCCTTCTTTTTGCCACTGAGTTAGGTGGGGAGACCCATAATGGGGGATCAGATCAAATGATTAGATATAAACAAACTATATTATTTTTGTATGAAATTTAGTATATTTGCAGCTTTGTGACAAATTCTAGTGTATGGGAAATGGAGGCGATCTAGGGATTCCCATCGCCACTTAAATCTGTTAGTGAGCTAAGTTACACACGGGCAGGGATTTCTGTGTTTGTTCACTGCTGTATCTGCAGTGCCCAGAATAAGTGTCTGACAAATGGTAGATACTCGATGGGTATTTGTGGAAAGAATCATAACAATAGCATAAAACAGACTTGCAAAGTGCTCCCTAAAAATGCCAATACAATTTCAACAAAAGCAGTGTGTCACAGAGAGTCAGTTGGGAGCCAATCCCTTGGTTGAGGAAGTATTTCCATATATGGCTCTTTTTGTTGTTGCTATTTTTCAAAAATTATATAATTTAAAATCTTCAAAAATTGTAAAATGTTTAACATTAAAAAGTAAAAAAAAAAAAAAAAAATTGTCAGGCATAGTGGCTCATGGCTGTAATCCCAGCGCTTTGGATGGCTGAGGCAGGAGGTTCGCTTAAACTTAGGAGTCGGAGATCAGCCGGGGGAACATGGCAAAACCCTGTCTCTTCAAAAAAACACACAAAATTTAGCCAGATGTGCTGGTTGCATGCCTATAGTCCTAACTACTCCAGAGGCTGAGGTGGGAGGATGGCTTGAGCCTGAGAGGCAAAGGTTGCAGTGAGCCCAGATCACACCACTGTGCTCCAGTCTGGTGACAGAGTGAGATCCTGTCTCAAAAAAAAATAACAAACAAAACTAATCTATAGTATTAGAAGTTAAGATTTATTGTTATCTCTTTGAGGCAGGTGTTTTGATTAGAAGAGGACATAAAGGGGGCTTCAGGTAAACTTGAACTAGTCTATGGTTTAACCTCAATGTTGATTACATGAGTTTGTTCACTAAAAATTTGACAAGCTGTATACCTGTAACTTGCCAATTTCTTGCATTTATATTACACATCAATAAAATAAGTTTAAAATTATGTTGTGATTTGCATCATTTACATGCTTAAGTAAATTCTAAGAATCAAATAGTATCATTGTAAGTTTTTAAAAATTCATGTTTTTAATTATTCTGCAGAAAGTTTGCACCAGTTTTGACTTCCACAAACGACATATAAAAATGCAATTTATTTGCATTCTCTTTAGAACTTGCTATTATAATTTTCCTAATTTTTAATGATTTTATGTAAGAAAAATTAAGTGTATACTTTTCTCTCCAACTTTTTATTTGAAAAATTTCAAACTTACAGAAAAGCTGAAAGAATAATGTAATGGATACCAATATATCCCTTACTAGATTCACCAAGTCTTTAAGTTTTTGCCACACTTGCTATCTCTCTGTTTCTATTTACACACACATATATATATGTGTGTATATATGTATATATGTGTATATATGTATATATGTGTGTGTATATATGTGTATATATGTATATATGTATATATATGTGTATATATGTATATATATGTATATACACATACACACACATCTATTTATCTGTCTGCATTTCTGAGCTATTTTTAAAGAAGTTTTAGACATCATGACAATTTATCCCTTAATGTATCACTTAAGAGTAAGAATTTTTTTTACATAACCACATTTATCATTACACTTCTATATTGTCAAGTAATATCTAGTCCACATTTATAGTTCCACAATACTGTCTTTTCTAGCTGATTAAAAAACAGGATTCAATAAAGTTCATTCACATGTTGCATTTAAATGTTTTATCTCTTCAGTTTCTTTTTTACCTAAAAGAGTCCCTGCCCCGGACCGTCTCCCCACCTCCTCCCTTCCCAGCTTTTCATATTAAAATTTTTCAAGTCTAGGTCACTTGAAAACCTCCTGTTTGTCTTCAGATATGTATGACAATGGTTGATTTTACAAGCTCATATTGCAAAATTATTACAGGTTTTTAGAAGCAAATGTATCCACAACTGTAACAGATTTTCATTTTTGGATATTGGCTTGTCAGAGCAAGACGCTGGATCTCCAGCCAGGCACCAGATGTTTTTATTGAGGGGAAAAAAAGAGCATTAAGAGCTTTTAAATCTTATATTATTACTTTGATCATATAAGAAATAATTGTGACATTTCATGCCTGGAAATGTATCACGGGGGCTTTCGTTCATATTGACACTATATATTACTGAATGGATCAGTTAATATATAACCAGTTTAAAGGACCTGAAAATGTAGTGACAGCCAAGAAGGATATTTTGAAGTTTGAAATGATCCCTATATAAATAGAACGGATCAGCATAACTTTGGGATAAAATTAGCCGACAGTTTGTGGACTCTCCAGCATGCGCCTGTTTGCTCGGTGCTGTTCTCTCGATAAATCACAACAAAGCTTCCAGAGGGAGAGGAAGGATGGACGGCACCACTGCCCCTGTCACTAAATCTGGAGCTGCCAAGTTAGTTAAGAGAAATTTCCTTGAGGCGCTAAAGTCCAATGACTTCGGAAAATTGAAGGCTATTTTGATCCAAAGGCAAATAGATGTGGACACTGTTTTTGAAGTCGAAGATGAGAATATGGTTTTGGCATCTTATAAACAAGGTAAAAACATATAGGTGTTATTGTAGAACTGTTAGAAAATGATTTAAAAAAATGCACAGTGTCAGTTATCCACTCTAAACAGTAGTTTTTATTGTTTCTTTAAGTATTCATTTAAAAAATATTTCTAAATTGATATTTTCTTTCTTTTTAAACTAAAACACATTGTGGGCTGATATATATGTATAAGTCGTGTCTCTCCTTTTCTTTTCCCACCCTTGGGCCTAGGACTTGAAATCCCAGACAATCATTTTTAGCAATGCACTCTCTCTGTTTTTAACTTTTCTTCTGACTATGATGATATAGAAGGAAGAAAACATTTTTAGATTATGGCTAAGCAGATTGTTGAAACCCTATCTTAGACAATGTACCTGGTTTAAGAACACGCTGCTAATTCTCCATTAACAGCTACTTAAAGATATATCCTCTCTATGTCCATGTGGATGAAAAAGAGGAATCTCCCCAACATTTGGAGGGTTAATAAATGGATAAAGCGGTGCCACAGGCACCTTCATGGTCTTCTTCATTTTAATGAGTTTTCAGTTCAGGCACAAAAGCTGAATTCAGCAAAACCAAAAAGTTAACTTTTTTCCTGGACTACAATAATTGTTCAAAATTGTAGATGTGTTTAATACAGAATATCTGTCTTATAACGACCTAAGGAAAACAAAAATTAGACCAATTTTTTTTTACCAAGGAATTTTCTGGAACCCATGCTTAATAAATCAGAAATGAATTAGAGTTCCACTGATTCTGATTTCCCAAATCAACTGGTTAATTGGGGGAACGTGAGTAGTTAGATCATCTGGCGAGCATACTGCAAACATGCTGCTCAACATCACTAATGTTTAATACAATATAGATGCTAAGGTCTTGTGTATAGCATTTAGAGACAGTCATTATTTTAATGTTTAAAAATGATTTCTGGCCATCTATAAATCATCAGTATAATACATTTCCAGATACAAATGCTAATGGTACAGTATATATTTCTTCATTAATTTACTGTCCTCCGATTGTCAGTTCTGAGGGACATATAGAAGAGCTCAGGCTAGTTACTATGTTTATGATTTTTACTCAAGGGCTTTATAATATTTTGGCATTAATGGCATTAATATTTTGATGGGAAGACAAAGAAGGGATCTATTTTTTAAAAAGTTTATGGGGTCTGTTAGAAAATTTGTATACTATATAATCAGATTGCTTTCATCTTATAATTTTGTTCAGTGATAGAATGTCTGAATGCTAAACTAATTTTTAAGATGTTTTTAAAAAGCTTATATTTGTGCCTAGGGTGAAATAACTCAGGTTCAAGTCAGTGGGTAAGTTATTTGACCCTGAGTTGCAAAGACTGTCTTCTCTCATCTGAGCAGGCCAAGTTGCACAGATTGTGGGAAGTTTCTGAGGATATAAGAAACCAAGTTTTAGGTGCAGGCTCTAGGGAAGTGGAGGGGAGAGGTGGGGTTGGTTCTCCTACTTCCACCGGTGTCATCTTCCTTGAAGGAAAAGAAAATACATTTTAAATTCTTCTTGTCAATATGAGCTGACTCCTATGGTCCTCATAGAGCTAAATTTTCATTCCCACGAATTGAGGTGTTTTCATAGTGTTAGGACTGTGGGATGTGGCTTTCAATTAGGGAGATAGCAAATTACACCCTCTGGAAAAGGAAAAGAACAGTTCCATTCTTATGTATGCCAAGTGGATGCTTGCACAGAACTAGTAAAATTTGTGGTCTTACTTTTAGGGTTTATGCAGGAAATTTGTGTCTGCACTCATGTGTAGAAAGAAACACACTTGAAACACACTTCTCCACTACTCTGTTTAATACGCACATGGGCACAAGGACCTGTCTCTTTAGTCTTAAACCCAGGTTAAAACTTCATCTTTCTTAAAAGTTTCTTCAGGCCGGGAGTGGTGGCTCACGCCTGTAATCCCAGCACTTTGAGAGGCCGAGGTGGGCTGATCACGAGGTCAGGAGATAGAGACCATCCTGCCTAACACGGTGAAACCCCATTTCTACTAAAAATACAAAAAATTAGCCAGGCGCGGTGGCGGCCGCCTGTAGTCCCAGCTACTCCCGAGGCTGAGACAGGAGAATGGTGTGAACCCGGGAGGCGGAGCTTGCAGTGAGCCCAGATGGCGCCACTGCACTCCAGCCTGGGTGACACAGGGAGACTCCGTCTCAAAAAGAAAAAAAAAAAGAAGTTTCTTCCAATTTTTTTCACATGCTTCCAACCTTATCATCGATCCTTTTAAACTTAGGAATGGAAAGTTAGGAATGGAAATGACAAATAGAATCCTAGCTGCTAGTAGATCTAAGTGGTTATATCAATTTCTTAAGTCATAAAGTCATTGTCAGGCAACAGCGTGGAGCTGAGCAGTCTACAGTGGTTAGTTAGTTCTTTTCTAAATAGTTCAAAGGAATAGGACCCATTTCTGTGTGGCCTTAAAAGGTATGTGGCTGGATTAAAGTTTGTGAGACTTTATTAAATCAAAGGAGAAGTTTTGGACCTTGGACGCTGTTGAACTGCTACACACTGCTCTTTGATTTTTTTAAAGCACTTTTGAAAAGCTCTCCGCAAAAGTGCATAAATAAGTGTGCAGCTTGATTACTTTTCACAAAATAACAAACCTATGTAACCAGCATCCAGATGAGGAAACAGAGCATTCCTGTTTACTTTTAAAGTGTGGGAATCTTCAGGTTTCAGTTATTTTTGGCTTAATAAGAAAGACAATGCACAAAACCTATAACGAATCTCATGCTACTCTTAAATTTCCTTGTGTAATCAATACTAAAATTCTATATTCAACATTTGATAGTCCTATAGAAAGTGAAAAGTAGTACAATCAATTCTAAACCATTCTTATTTATTTAGAACATACAGCATTTTTATAGGATTTAAGAAGTAACTAAATTTTATCCCTAAATATAGTCCATCTAAGCCTATATGAAAGTCAGTGTATAATTTTTGAAAAGGGAACTCAGAACTCTGCTGGCAAATAAATCACCTAAAATCTAAATAGTGCTTCCCAAATTTACAATCTACTGGGCACACCAGTAATCAAAAGTTTAGCTCATAAGCAAATATGAAATGTGTATTTTGTGAGGAAGACAGAATAAAGCTATTGGATTACAAATAAGTCTGGAAGCTCATTTCTGCTTTCCTCTGTAGCACTGGGCCCATCTCATTGAATAGCTTCTCTTACCAATTTGGCAGAGAACAGATTTAGAAGCCAGCCTCCAGAGTTCATGTTCAAACTGTGGATCCTGTCTTTCTCCAGCACCTAATCATGATTCTTAAAGTTAGAGAGCTCTCACTTTACTTTTCTAAGTTATTTTAAGCTTCATAATAAAATCTGCAGATGAAATCATGTTTTATTAATTTAAAGAAACTTTTCTCACATTTTGTAAAGCAAACATTTAAAATGTGCTGGTTGGCATTTGAGAGACCTCCCTGGGAATGGCGGAGATAATGGGTCTTAAAAGCAAAAACAAGTAAGCCAAAATTGCGTTTACCAGATGATCACTTTAAAATAAAAACGATATAAAGAAAACATAAAGAATGACTTTCTAACTGCCAAATGCAATAAGTCATTGAAAGTCAAGGGATGTCAGTGATATAACATTAATTATGAGCCAACCACTGAGTATTTAGAGTGAAGTCAAGCACAGAAGAAATCTTTAAAGAAAACACAAATGTCCCTTCTATTGGTTTTCACTGGTTACTTCCATACTGGAAAGACGAAGGACTGTCCATAAAACTGTTTCCAAAGGCTTTACCAACTTGATCTTCCTTCAGATGTATGAGCTTTTGCTCATAAATGATACAGGCAGAATTTCATACTTATCTCTTTGGTATGAAATTCCCTAGTCAGCAAGGTTAATCAGAGTCCTTTTATTAATCAGGGTAATGCACTTTAAGTACTTCGTTTATGGCCCATAGCCACTGATTCCTTGGTTGGTAGTCATATTTTTAATTAAAATAACCAATGAATGATTTCACTTAAAAAACTTTCTGGCAGGTACTCTGTTTCCTTTACTAAGTAGCAACTTATATCCCAATATTGTGAAAGCTCTTATTTCCACTCTCTGAATGAATAATTTCTTTATCACCTAATTTTCCTCTTTGCCAGAAATTCACTCTCCTGCTTTCCCATTTCCATCCTAGGGTTCTTTTCCTTTCTTCGATGTTCAAACTTTTTTCTTTTACATTTTACACTTCAAACTTGCTTTTATCCCCCCTTCCCAGGGGAACTTTGAGTTATCTGGAAAATATTAGCTATTAAAAAATAGCCAAGAATTGTGCTTCAGTCTGTAATCCTTCAGGACTGTGTAAATACATGGACACAGGCAGAGCAAATGTCTGCTAATCCAGCCACGAGCAGTGTGTGTAACCTTTGGCTGTAATAACAGAGGCTTCTCATGTGTGGGGTTCTTTTGACTCAGATAACATTATAGTTGATAACTGTTGCAGAGCCCAGGCTTAGCTGAAGGTTTACCAGAAATGTGTACATCCTCTCCAAACGCTGGAGCAGAACCAATCCCCTCTTCCAAAAGAAGGCCCAAACACTTTGCTCCTTGCTATATTTCTAGGCAGCTTTCTACCCAGCTATTGGGGCATATCTCTTTGGTTTCAGATTTAAATTAAACACACACGCGCACGCGTGCACACACACACGATTAGTCTGCATATTTTCTTTTCAGGGATAAAACTTCTCAAATTCCTTTAGAACTTTTAGCTACAAGTGATATCAGTTTGGAGGTAAACTGCATGTAGCCTTCGGATCATAGACGGCTATTTAAAGATTTGGGGGCAATGGAGTTTGAGAGTTAGAGTTGATTCTGTGGGTACTTGTTATATGAACATGGACACTTTATACTACTTAACCTCTTCCAGACTAATTATCTTCATTTGTAAAATGGAAGCTTTGACAAGACCCTCTCTAAGTTCAGATTCTGGCATGCAGATAATTAATCACATTATGAAGGTGAAACTATGTAAACAGATTATGTATCATGGTCAAAGCCACATGGGCATGGCCTGTATTTGGGAGTTCCTGTGGGTTTTGTACACAGGGGAAATAATCTCTATTTTTCTTTTCTTCTTAGTGGAGCTTCTTATTCAAACAGAACTCTTCTGCAAGGAGCTGTCACTGCACACAGACTCTAGACATGGGGTAGCGTGTGAGTGGTTTACATTAGAGGGAGGCAGCCGCTGCTTCACCTCCCACCCCTAGCTCCCATGGGCTTGGTTCCCCGGTTCTCCCTCACCTCTGTCCTTTGTGAAGTCTAAACACATAGTAAAAGGGCAGCCTGAAGTCTGCAGAGGTGAGCAGAGGGGGGCTTTTGAAAGACAAATACTAGGAATAAATCACATTCTAGGTTTCGAAGCCCTGGAAAAATTTTGCTGTGGGAAGAAGGGAGTGTGTAAAAAATGAATCTGCCTCATCAGTTAATTGTGTTTCTAGCATGCTGTGGTCATTGGTGGTTATATTTTGGGGGACAAATTCTGATCTCTTGACATATCAGCATCAGCAGAAGATTGTGAATAGGCACAGCCTCATCTGTAGTTTTTGAAGATAGCTTTACCTGGGGTTTGGTCCTCCATGACAGTAAGTGTATTTACTTCCACACTTGCTACACAGTGACCTGTAGGCCCAGCCTCATTTTAAAGTGATGATTGTACGCTGATGGCCCTTTTGCCAGGGGCTGCTCTTTTCTCTGCTCAAAGCAGCAGACTTTCCTGATATGCTCAGGGCTGAATTATTCAAAAATCCCTAGCCCCACATTACCACCAAAGTTTTGCAACACAGCTTCCAGATACACTTCAGTATACCCTAAGCTATAGCCTGCAAACTGTCCTCTTGCCATTTCTCCACTTCAGCTCCCCAGAGGCAGCAGCTAAGGTGTCTTGTTACCACCTACCTACACACATTCCTATCTTAGGAGAGGTGAGTTGTAACCACAACTCCATTCTGGGAGTTGGCTGAATTCCAGGACCTTGTAGTCTGTGAGCCTGATTGACCAGATAATGTTTATGATTACAGGAGATGCAGAAGAAACTGACTGAGAGGCCAAGGATGACTGACTCACATAATACACGAACAGGATAGAGTCTTTAGGTGCTACCTGGAAGTTAGGAGGAGGAAAAAAATTCAACTAGCAAATGCATTTCCATATCAGAGATGTGAAATATTACAGATGAATTGAGGATCTTCTTCCTTTCCTTGTGATTTGTGAAGCAGGCTTGGAGGTAATTCTATTCTGCTTCCACAAAGACAAAGACAGATGAAAACTGCATTGCGGGTATTCTGAGTCCATGAGTTTGGATTGAGGCAGGCAACTCATGGCTCTAGCAGGCTGAAAAAGTGGCAGTTTTCTCATCTGGAAAATGAAAGGCTTGGACTGGATAATCTTCCCTCCAGCGCTAACATTCTGTGTTTCTTTGATTTTACATCAAAATGGTGTTTTCTTAATCAGCTCTCTGCTGCTTCCTTTCTGGGATCATTTTTCTTCCCATTGCAGAAGCAGGCGCAAATTTCCAATCAGTTGTCACAGAGAGCTGCCTAATTTTTGCTGTTAATCAGCAGGCAAAACACATCCTGGTTTTCAGACCTGGAACCAACTTCTTAGGCAGTTAGGAAAGACTGTTTTTGCCAGTTGCTTTTTGAGGAAATTTGAGTATTAAAATGACTGATTAAGTATTGAAGTTAATGTGATTCGTTCATCATCAAAAGCAAGCTGCATGACATACAGCTTAGGAACTCTGCTCGGAACAGAGATTCAATGTACATAACTCAATAGAAATGTATAAATGAATCTATATGTACATACATTGTGTGTGCATATCAATTTGCACACACATACACACGAGGCGTGGAGTTGATGCTCCCCAGCCCAGACTGTCTATGACACTACTTAGTTCTGCCATGGAAAGTCCATATAATCCAACACCATCTCTTCCCAGTGTCTGGAATCTCAAAGTAATATATTAGAATTTAATTCTATTAGCTGAATATAGATTCTTCTATAAATTCAGATAATCCTCAGAGTGATCATACTTTAAACAATCCTCAGTCCATTAGACCTTAATGTGAAATAACTGGATTTCTTTTTAAAGAGGAGATTTGGATAAAGGGAAAGGTGGGAGAGAGAGAAAGCAAGATGGCTCTAGAATTCTGAATGGAGTAAAAAAGAGATGAAAGTGTGTGTGTGTGTGTGTGTGTGTGTGTGTATGTGTGTGTGTGTGTATAGCTAGGTTGGAGGATACATTACAGAAAGACAGACAAACTTTGGGTTGAGTTCATTCATTCCTGTGGGATTAATCACTGTGCACAACCTTGTAAATAGCTTCTTTAAATTAAATTATTTTTTCCCCTCTGGACAGAGAGACAATAGCTTATTTTGATTTTATTTATTTTTGTTAAAAAGCAATACATGCACAGGATACTAAATTTAGAAGTTGCCAAGGAGGTAACTTGGTATGTTACCTCCTTGTAACAAGAACAAGTGCATTTCTGTCCTGATCCCCCAACCCCCCAGTTCTTCTTGGAGGCCACCACTATAACCAGTTTCGTGTTCTCAGTGTTTACAAATGTATTTGCATATGATAGCATAGTTTGTATACTGTTTGGCTCCCTGCTTCTCTCATTCAGTAATATATCTTGAGATCTTTCCATTTCAGTCTATATAGAACTGCCCCTTTTTTTAATGGTTGTATAGTATTTGATTGACGGATGTATCATAATTTATTTAAGCAATCTCCTATCAATTAACATGGAGGTTGTTTAACCATTCGAACAATGCTGTAGTGTAGTGCATGTTCTTGTATGTAGACCAGGTTGTCAAGATTCCTAAGTCCAGGAGCACATTTCACAGAGTACAATGCAAATGTTGTTTTTTGTGGAGTTGTGCAATACAGTGGTCCTTTAGGACATTTCACATGGGTGTTTATGCTTATAGGATAAATACCCAGGAGTGGCATGTCTCTAGTGTTTTTCACTTAAATGAGAGAAATTTAATACCTGATCACCAGGCCCACTTTTAATGTGGTCATCATCCTCAGAGCACCCTCTAGTAGTTCATCATTTCTTGTAAGGGGCAATGCCCAGCAGTCATCGTAATATTCTAGATTTCTTATGACCTTATCTAATCAGTGAAGAATACAATGTTTACTTCTCTTGTTCTGGACACTACACTTTTATTAATGTAGTTTCAGATTGTATTAGTTTTTTGGCAGTACCATCCCACTGTTGGCTTATTTTGAGATTACAGCTCAAATCCCTAGGTTGTTTCTCAAATAAATGACCATTAAATCATATTCTGCTTACTTTGTACTTGTAAGTGGAATTTTTATAATCTATAAGCAAACTTTTGATTTATCCATGTTAAAATTTATTTTGTTGTTTCAGCCCTAAAGTAACTTCTACGCTGTGACTGTTGAAGAACTATCTCTTCATCTTCTTGCCCTCAGTATTTTTTCTTTCTGTACCTATTTTCCGTTCTCCATTCATAAAAGCTTAAATGCTATGGCTATTGGCATTGACATAGAAAGAAGGTTTATAAAGTCATCATAGTTATAGCTTGTCAAATGTGGCAATAGTTGCAGATTTATAGAAAAAAGACCAGCTCAGCGTATAGAAGTCAGAGATCAGTGGGAGAAAAGAGAGAGAGAGAGGCAGAGAGAGAGAATGCACATTTCCAAAAACCAATGGGAAAAATTATTGAAGATCTCAGTTCTAGGCACATCTATGCTTCCCCTGCCCAATCATTTATGTATGGCTTGTAGACATAGTTAATTATGCAACATATCTTATTTTCCTGTTTATTTTGGCTGCTAGGAAATTCAAAGGCAAATTTGCAATGCCATTCTAGTGTATAGGATACAGTTTATATTTTGTGTATGTATTTGTCTTACTTTTGACATTTTTATTTTCCTACTTTTTTATTTTGCCCTTATTTTCTAAATCGTTTAAAAAATCTTTAAGTGTGTGAAAGTTGAGAGTTGCCTTAAATTCGTCTTTGGAAAGCGATATTGCATAAATCAACAGGCAGGCAAATAAAATCTTGGAGTGATAATTTTTTTAAAAAGATTAAATATATTCATATGTTGGATTGACAACAACTATAGGAAAAAAGATTTTGGATAGAATAAAAATTATAAGCTTGCAACTGACAGCCTTGGAATCATTCAAGACAAACTCTCAATGATTGAAAGTTTTTTAAAAAAATATCCTTGAAGCATCTCAAATAACTCAGCATGCAAAATAAAATACAATTACATAAATGAAGATCCCAAACTTAAATGCCTTCAAGACCTAGAAAGGTAAAGTAAATAAAGGAACAAGACACAGTAATAAGAAACAGTAGAGACAGTGAGAGCTTGAGAAAGCCTGTTCCCCTGATGAATATCAGAATATGCTATTTAACAAAACGCTTGCAGACCCATTAGCTATTAGTTTAAAACCTCTGTCATCCCCTCTCCACCCCACTTTTATAAATGTGGCCAAAATAAAATACTTGTAAAAATCCTCACAAAACAGGGAGAAAGCCTAGGTCAAGAAGTTAAACTTTCCTTTTCCTTTTTTTTTTTTTTTTCAGGTTACTGGTTGCCTAGCTATAAATTGAAGTCTTCCTGGGCCACAGGCCTCCATCTCTCTGTCTTGTTTGGCCATGTGGAATGTCTTCTGGTGCTACTGGACCACAATGCTACAATCAACTGTAGACCCAATGGGAAAACCCCTCTTCACGTGGCTTGTGAAATGGCCAATGTGGATTGTGTTAAGATCCTCTGTGATCGTGGGGCAAAGCTCAATTGCTACTCCTTAAGTGGACACACAGCTTTGCACTTTTGTACAACTCCAAGTTCCATTCTCTGTGCCAAGCAATTGGTTTGGAGAGGTAAGCCTTTCTGGGTGGCCAACATTGTTGTCTGCTTGTACACTCATGGTTTCAAGACTTTGTGACCCCTACCTACCCCAGATGATGTAGTAAGCATAAAGATGCAATTATGCCTAGTACAGAAGGCCCTAAAAAATACATAGTTCTGTTGATTCAGGTAATTCAATGATGATCACATTAAAATCTTATTATCTAATAGCAGGAAGTTCATTCATTTACTCATTTACTTAACAAATATTTATTTAGCTCCTATTATGCATCAGGTAATGCACTAAGTCAATGAAAAAGAGAAAATACTCCTGCCCTCAAAGAAAGTATATTCTAATAAGGGAGACAAATATTAACAAAATAAATTCATAAATATATAATTATAAATTGGGACAGTGTTTTGAAGGAGAAAACAGGAGTTATGAATGAGGATGTCAGAAGTGAATTACTATAAAATGTATAAAGTCTTCTCTAAGGATATTATGCTAGGTAGGCTGAAATTTTAAGAATGAAAAGGACGGCCAGGTGCTGTGGCTCATGCTTGTGGTACCAGAAGTTTTGGAGGCTAAGGTGAGAGGATCACTTGAGCCCAGGAGTTCGAGACCAGTCTCGGCAACATAGGGAGACCCCATCTCTACAAAAAGCAAAAAAAATTAGCCGGGCATGGTGGCATGCACCTGTGGTCCCAGCTACTCAGGAGACTGAGGTAGGAGGGTCACTTGATCCCAAGAGGTCAAGGCTGCAGTGACTTGTGATTATGCCACTGCACTCCAGCCTGACTGACAGAGTGAGACCCTGTCTCAAAACAAAAAACAAAGAACAAAAACAAACAAAAAACAAATGGGAAGGAGACAGCCATTAAAAAAGAACGCCGAGAGGAAGAGGGGTCTAGCTATAGGAAATAGCTTGAGCAAAATTGCTAAGAGAGCAATAAAACTTGGAATATTAAACAGATAGAAGAGGGCTACTATGACCAGAGTATCATGGGTGTGGGGTAGGGTGGGAAGGACAAGAGGGTAGAGGGGAGTGTTACAAGATGACATTGGATGTGTTAGATCCTACAGGGCCTTTGAGGGTCAAAGTGTAGGGCTCTGAAATGGAGCCACAAAAAAGTTTTCAGTAAGACAGTGACATGATTTAATTTTCCTTTAAAGTCATTATTCTGGAGCTATGCAGAAAATAGATTGGAGGTAGACAAGAATGGAAGCAGGGAGACCAGTAGGGAAGCTATTGTAATAGTCTAGGTGAGAGAAGATGGTGGCTTGCACCAGGGGCAAGCTCAGATAGGAAGTTTAGGAGATGGGTTTGCAATACATTTTGGAAGTAGAATTGTTGGGATTCAGAGATGGATTGGATGTGGGTGGGGTGTGAAGGAAAAAGGAAGTCCCAAGTATCATTGCCTGGTTTCAGGTTTTAGTAAATAGGCAGATAGTGATGCCATTTTTTGAGGTAAAGAAACTTGAGGAAGAGGCACCTATGTAGGGATAATCATTAAATCCATTTTTTAAAAAGTCAGTTTATGGAGGTATAATTTTCACTCAGCAAAATTAACAGTACAATTTAACATTTTGAGAAATATTGTTTTTGTGAAACTATCATGCCAATCATCTTAAAAAGTTTCCTGATGCCCTTTGTAGTTAGTCCTCTCCCCCTCTACATCTACAGACAACCACTGATGTTTTCTGTCCCTATAATTTTGCCTGTTTTCAGAATGTCATATACATTAAAATATAAAATATGTAGGCTTCTGAGTCTGGTTTCTCTCACTTAGCATAATACATTTGAGATCCATCCATATGGTTGCATGGACCAATAAATTAGACCTTTTTATTGCTGAGTAGTATTCCATTGTATACACATAACAAAATTGATCTACCCCCCAGTAGAGGGACATTTGGAATGTCCTTAGGTTTTGTCAGTTTTCAAAGAAAGGCTGATATAAACATTTGCATACAGGTTTTTATGTGGACTTTTTATTTCTCTTATATAAATACCTAGGAGTGGGATGATGGCTATGTGGTAAATTTATAAGAAACTGCAACACTGTTTTCCAAAGTAGTTCTGTCATTTCGTATTTCTATCAGCAATGTATGAGAATTCCAGTTGCTTGGCAGAACTTGATAATGTGAGATAAAAAAAATTAGGCTGGGCACGGTGGCTCACACCTATAATATCAGTATTTTGGGAGGCCAAGGTGGGAGAACTGCTTGGGTCTAGGAGTTTGAGTTCAGCGTGGGCAACATCAGTTTGCAATCATTACAAACATATTAGAATAGCTAACATATTGGCTAACATTCTAAATGTCCCTCTACTGGGGGGTAGATCATTAGAATGTTAGCCATTCTAAATATGTTTGTAATGGTATCTCATTGTTTTAATTTGAATTTCTCTGATGACTAAGGATGTTGAACATGTTTTCATGTATTGATTTGCCATCTGTATATTATTTACTTTGGTGAAATGTCTGTAACTTTTACTCCTTTAAAGAAATGGGTTGCCTGTATTCTTATTGATTTGAGAGAGTTCTTGATATATATTCCGAATACTAGTCATTTATCAGATACATAGTTTGCACGTATTTCTCTTCATTCTGTGGCTTTTCTTTTCATTTTCCTAACAGTATCTTTCAAAGAGAAGAAGTATTTAGTTCTGATAAATTCAATTTACCAATTTTTTTCCTCCTAGCAAAAAATTTGTTTCATATGTTTATTTCTAGAGGTTTTGTCATTTCAGATTTTACTTTTAGGTGTAGGATTCATTTTGAGTTAATTTTTTTATATGGTATAAGTTATGGGTTAGGTTCGTCTTTTTTTATATGGATGCCCAGTTGTTTCAACACCATTTGTTGAAAAGAATATTCTTTCACCATCAAACTGCCTTAGTATTTTTGTCAAAAATCAATTGGCAATATATGTATGGGTTTATTTCTGGACTCCAGCCTATTCCATTGACCTATATATCTTTTTATTTTTTTCCCTAATGCTCCACTGACTTGATTGCCACAGGTTTGTATCAAGTCTTGAAATCAGATAGAGTGAGTCCTCCTAGATCAGTTTTAAGTATGAGAGTTTTCATATCTCTTTGAAACTTCAGTGAAAATGTCAAGGATGCACTTTATATAAAAGTATAGATTTCAGAACAGAGCCCTGGACTAAAGGTATAATTTCAGAATTGTTGGCCTATAGATTGTATTTGAAGTCAAGGAAATCAATGGAATCGCCTGGATAAAGAGTATATATAGAGAAAAGTGAATCTATGAAAAAGCCCCAATGAATTCTAACATTTCAATGTTAGAAGGATGAGGAGAAACCAGTAAAGGAGAGTAAGATATACTGATAAGTAAAATTGGAGAAAACCAAGAGTATTTTGGCAACACAAGGACAAAGAAAGAGGTAGTAGGTTCCAGAAGCAGAGAGTGGCCAGCTATAGTGATAGCTACCCAGGGTTAATTAGATGTTCATTAGATTAGGTGACAGAGTTATCACTGACAAAAATAGTTTTGGTGAAACAGTGTTAAAAGCCAGATTTGAATGGTATAAAGTGCAAATGGGTGGTAAGAAACCAGAGATGCCACAGGTAAACAATTGGTAAAAAGAAGTGAGGCTGCAGAAGTGAACATAAGAAGAGCATGATTGCTGGAGGGGGCTGGAGGGAGGTCACAGGCAAGACTTACCTACAGTTGGAGATCAAAGAAAAAGCTTGTGTGCTAAAGGAAATGATTCATAGAAAGAAAACAGCTGAAGATGCACGAGACAGGATAACTGAAAGTCCTTCAGAAGTTGAGATGAGATTAAATCCAGAGACTACGGGATACATCCTCTTTTTTTTTTTTTTTTTTTTTTTTTTGAGACGGAGTCTCGCTTTGTCGCCTGGGCTGGAGTGCAGTGGTGCGATCTCGGCTCACTGCAAGCTCTGCCTCCCGGGTTCACGCCATTCTCCTGCCTCAGCCTCCCAAGTAGCTGGGAGCATCCTCATTTTTAAGAAGCGGGACAAAGTAAAAGATGGTTTTAAATGCCAGAATATTTATAGATTTGATGGTGCTACGATGAGGGAGTTCGGATGGTTTTTCCCCTCAACAATGTGTCAAAGTCACCAGCCAAAAAATGAGAGGAGAGCAGAAAGCATAGACATTTTCATAAGAATGGAGAAGGAATGGGAGGTTCGGGAGAAAAAAAATGGGAGAAGAAACTTACTAGAGAAATGTAGTAGGATTACTGGACTTATAAAAGATGCCATGTGGCTAGGAGCCGTGGCTTATGCTTGTAATCCCAGAACTTTGGGGAGGCTGAGGCAGGAGGACCTTTTGAGGCCAGGAGTTTGAGATCAGACTGGGCAACATAGTGAGACCACATCTTTACTAAAGGAAAAATAAATTAACCAGGCATGGTGGTGCATCTGTATTCCTAGCTACTCGAAAGGCTGAGGCAGGAGAATTGCTTGAGCTCACGAGTTTGAGGCTGGCTGCTGTGAGCTATTATTGGACCACTGCACACCAGCCTGTGTGACAGAGCAAGATCTGTCTCAAAAAAAAAAAAAAAAAAAAAAAAAAAAGCCATGATCTTTTCAACCTGCGGAAATGAAGGGGAAGAAAAAATTCAGCCCAGCATATTCTCCTTCTTCTTTGGTTCACTTGTTAAAAATGAGGCTGTATCCCATATTCTCTGGATTTCATCTCATCTCAACTTCTGAAAGACTGGAACCTTTCAGTTATCCTGTCTCATACATCTTCAACTGTTATTTCTATGAATCACTTACTTTGGCACACAAGGTTTTCCTCTGATCTCCAACTGTAGATAATAGTGACCTGTGACCTCCCTCCAGCAATTGTGCTCTTCTTCGCTTTTGCAGCCTCCCACTTAGGAAGGAAGCTACAGGGACAAGGTTAGGCATAATTTGGAGCTTACTCACATTTTCTATGTGTAGCCATCACCACTCTTCACATTTACTCATTCATTTATGTTTAGATTTAGTTTTTATCTTTATTGATTTTTAAATTTAATTAGTTTAAACATGCAAGCTTTTTATTTTTAAGAGTTTAAGGAATTTTAGAAATTATATATTAATTTAATCATTAACTTTCTAATTAAAACATTTTTTGTCTCACTTTTCGTAATAATGAAATGAAAATGAAAGCTGCCCACTTTACTCTGCATGAAGCAAATCCTGACAGTAGGAGGAAAATTTGTTACTGCAGGAAAGCCATAAAAATTCAAATGTTTCTTAGCAGAATGTAGCATGGGGGCAATGTAAAGGGGGCCATGCCTTTTAAAAGACTGTTCCCTGCTACTTTATCTGACAGTGACACAAGTCAACCACATGTTAGGAAATTCCCTGGTCAATGAAGTGGAACATGGTAAGGCAAGATGTCACTGGCCTTCATTTTAATCCGAAATAGATAGGCCTGCTGGACAGACGCTGCTCTTACCACCTCACCGCATTCCATCTTTTCATCTTAATCATAAATAAGAACACTTAAGATCTACTTTCAACAAATTTCCAGTAAACAATGCAGTGTTACTAACTATAGTCATCCTGCTATACATTAGATCTTCAGAACTTATTCATCATCCGGTGTAACTGAAACTTTGTTAACTTTTTACATTGTGGCCTTTTCATGTGACTTCATCAACCACAAACTGACAGAGTGGCCAACCTTTCACTCCCTAGAGGTGTCACCTTTCCCAGCCGGTACAGTTATTCCCCATCTCTTTTGTTCTTGTCAACAGAGGGAGACTACCTAGAGATGAGAAGGAAGAAAGAGGTAGGGGGAAGCTTGGGCAATGCTTGTAGGCTGACACTAATGAATTAGGCTTATAAGAATCAAGGAGAGAGAATAGAAGTCCATTAAAGATCCACTTACTCTTTCAAGCCATGTCATCAAAGGCCGAATTCACAAAGAAAATAGAGATAAATTAGAGAAAGCAAAAATGTTCAACTTCAGAAGGGCAAACACCATAAAATTAAAAGGCAATCATAAAACTGGGGAAAATATTTGAGACTATATGACAAAGGGCTTACTATACGCAGAAGTTTTTCAATTAAAGTAATGAGGCTAACAACTAAAAAAAAAAGAGAGAGAAAGAGGTAAAAAAAGAAAAAGAACAAAACGACCAAGAACAGGAATATTTAAGGGAAAAAAAAGAAAAATCATATAAACAGCAAATAAATATATGACATAATGATAGCCTTCATTGGTAATCAGTAACATGTCAATTAAAATGACAATTAGCTATTTTGTTGTTGTTTGTTACGTTAATAAGCATACAAAAGATAATACATATATGACAAACACATAGGGAAGTGCTCTTACACACGCTTAATAGAATGTAAATAGGTACCAGCCTGCGGGGGGGGGGCAAATTGATAACACATATCAAAAGCTTAAAACTTTCTTGTAACTTAGAAAATTCGCCTCTAGGATTAGGGACCAATTCTAGGCAGGAGACCATTTTACCCAGGGCTGTCATTTACTTAGGGCCTCAAATTCAGACTTTAGATGTTATCTCTGAACTAGGTTATACCTAAAGTCAAAGAGATAACTGGGGAGAAAGAAAAAGAAAGACACTGATCATGTAACTTAGAATTGTGCTTGGTCACATGACCTGCAGTACACTAGAAATTAGAGACTTTCTCCTAATTCTGTAAGAGTTTTCAGAATAATGCAGTTAGAGTATATTTTACTTATTTTACCTTATATTTTCATCTTAGAAGTTTTGATTGGTTAAGAAAAACATTTAAAATGTACCACAATTGAAAATATATAGATAGGCACTTTTAATTTTTAAATGTATTTAGAGTCTCAAAAAATTGCTTGATTCCTATTTGCCCTCAGAGAGTCATTTATATTACTGAAAAACTGAAAAATGCTTACATATCTAATAGAAAATTTCATGTTGTTACCGCCATACCATGCAGATATTTAAAATGATGTTTAAAGGAATGTCCATTCACATGGGAAGGTTGTAAAAAGCAGCTTATGGGACAGTATGGACTGTATAGATGTATTTTTCTGAAAATTATATGTGACTATGCATATCAAAATAATATTTAAAATATCAGAGTGAAACTTGATATTATAGCTAATGTTTAACTGTAGCTAAGCAATTTCAAAAAGGCAAATCTGTTATTTTAGATCCTTGCTGCTAGAATAATTTTTTTTAAAGTGTGGCAGCTGGCAGATATATAAATAAGAAAACAAACCTGTGAATCAGATCACTGGGTAAAATTTCAACCCATCTTATGCATGAGGAGAAAGTAAGTGTTTTGCAGGTAGGTCTTCTAACCTGGAAACTAAAAGACTGTGAGCATCTTGTTTTCTTTCCTTTGCATTTTTATGCCTCAGCTTCTTGGACAGCGCTTGGCACATAGAAAGTGCTCAATAAATAGTTACTGAGATTACTGACAGATCTGGGAATGGCTCCAGAAGCCCTGAGTGCATGGATGGGGACCCACTGCCACCTAATAAATGAAAACTGTGTGGTTCATGGTTAATGAAATGCTGCTCTTCATCAGTTTTACCCTCTCAGTCTCTAGAGGTATAGCCAAAGGCTAAATTTTCTCTCTCTTAGATTATGTCACAGATACTCTGGGGGAGAACTCAAATACATCACTTTGTAGCTGGACAGAGGGAATTGAGACAACATATAGACGAGGAAAATACGTCAGGCTAACATTAAGCTCAGGACCACAGAAGTCCGTTAGAGGAAGAACCAATGCCATGGCAACTGAAAACCGATGTAATTTCATTTGCTATTTAATGGGCTCTTTGTGGAAAAGTGCTCTTTGTGGAAAAGGCTAATTGAGGCAAAAAATTGCACCCAATTTTCTCTTAAAGGATTTTCCCCTATTTTTTCAGTGTTGCAGAGCCTGCTTTGTCCCCATGCTGGATTTTGTCTGTTATTTTTCTGTTTGCCTTTCTACTTAATGCCCCCATCTCCTGGCCTTTGTTGCCTTTGGTATTAGTAAAATAATGTTCATCAGTTGAGAAGGCTTATTTACCCTGCTGAAAAACCTCCTCTCCTTGAATCCTGCATTTCCCTATGAATAAAGAGAGTCGGGGCAGGTTTAGGTGGCTGCTAAGCAGCATATTATTTCTACCTATTCCATTCGTAAGAGGAAAATGAAAGCTGCCCGCTTTACTCTGCATGAAGCAAATCCTGACAGTAGGAGGAAAATTTGTTACTGCAGGAAAGCCATAAAAATTCAAATGTTCCTTAGCAGAAAGTGACATGGGGGCAATGTAAAGGGGACCATGCCTTTTAAAAGACTGTTCCCTGCTACTTTATCTGACAGTGACACAAGTCAACCACATGTTAGGAAATTCCCTGGTCAATGAAGTGGAACATGGTAAGGCAAGATGTCACTGGCCTTCATTTTAATCCGAAATAGATATGCCTGCTGGACAGACGCTGCTCTTACCACCTCACCGCGTTCCATCTTTTCATCTTCTGCGTTATACATTGTAATAGCATAAATCTGACCATGTTAGACATTTGCAAACCACCCTGAGGATTTTTGCCACATCTGCTGTATTGTGAGTACCACCTGTGCAATATGAATTTAATGTTGTCATCAAATTGATATTACTTATGAAATTCAATTTTAAAGGAAACTTGATATTACTATAAAAAATTGAAACCCAAAATCCCTTGACATACACTGAGGGTAACAGTAACAGCAAATAAAAGGCAATTAAATTCTTGACCTCCATCTGCTCAGAGACCCTCTGTTCTCAGATGGCAGAAAATGACTCTAAAAGGCCGTGTCTTCTGGTCACTGCTTTTTCCAGAAGACTTGCCTCCAATCATTCTGCTCTGAGTGAGTGAACTTGAAATGAGTTTGCAGTCCCTATCTCACACCTAGTCAGTCAGCAGTTACTCCAGTCCCGTAAAGCATGTTCCACGAAAAATCATACCACACTTCAGGAAACACAACCTTAAGCAGTGCTTTCAAGTTGATAGTCTATTTAGTGGTGAAATTGTAGAAGCATCTCTTTAGAATCACGAATGAAACAACTTTTCTGCTCTCGTCACAGTCTCTTCAGCCCTGTCCTGGAGGTCCTAACTGGCACAAAGAGAAGAGAAAAATACATAATGTACGATGATTGAAAAGAAGGAAGCAAAATGGCCGTTATTTAAAACAGGATGTTTGTCTACATGGAAAATCCAAGAAAATCTACAATTAAATGGTTACAACTAGTAACTGAGTTCAGAAGAGGTAGTGCATTTAAGATCAATATACAAAAATCAATTGCATTTCTGTATACCAGAAATAAGCAGCTAGAAATTGCAATGTAAGAAAAGATATATTTATAATATCACAAGAAATTTAAGGGGCCTAGAAAATATATTTAGCAAAAGAGGTGGAAGAAATATGAAAATTGTTTAAAAGACATTAAGAAGATACCATATTCAAGGTTTATAATGAAAAATGTAGTACTAGATTATTCCTTCTTCAGAGGCAACCACTTTTACTTCCTTGAGCTGATTAGTTTGGTATTTAGCTCCAAATTACTAAATAAATACCATTTATTTATCCATAAAAGTGGAAAAGAATAAGTAGCAATAGAAGCAGCTTTATGAGAATCTATTGATTTATTCTAATGGAAAATGAGGATCTGGCTCCTTTTCCTCTATCCGTGTCCCCCCCCCCCCAAATACTTATTCATTCCCTGTCCCTTATGATGTTATATTATAACTATGAGGCTTGTGGTCAACTATGATAGTTTCTTTTTTTGTGCAATGTTTGTTATCTCTGTAGAAAACTGTCTTATTTCATTCTTTTGCTTAATTTTCTACATACTCATTGCTATTTAACCTCAAAGCTTTTGCCAATATTTTTATTTTATTTTACTTTATTCATTTTTAGAGACAGGGTTTCACTCTGTCACCCAGGCTAGAATGCAGTGGCATGACCATGGTTCACTGCAGGTTTGACTTCCCAGGCTCAAGCAGTCCTCCCACCTCAGCCTCCCAAGTAGCTGAGACTACAGGCACATGGGCCGTGCCTGGCTAATTTTTAAAAAATTATTTTTAGTAGAGACAGGGTCTTGCTATTTTGATGAGGCTAGTCTCCAACTCCTGGCCTCAAGTGATCCTCCTGCCTAGGCCTACAAAGTGCTGGAATTATAGGTGTGAGGCATTGTACCTGGTCAGACAATAGTTTTAATCTTTTCTGAAATATTTAAACTCAGTGGGTATTTTATCAATGTTATTTTCTTGAAAAAGTTCCTTCTGGAGTCTTCAGACCTGCTCCAATGAGTTTCAGGTTGATGTGCATCTGGTGAACCACTGTCATCCTGGGATTCCCATTCCCTATCATCCCAGGGACACCCTTTTCCTCTCTCCTGTTTTCTGGACCACAAGTCTTCCTAAATCTTGGTGTGTTGCCTGTTTGGGTTAGATATGTCCTCTGGTACATTTCTGAGAAAGGGTGCATGAGACCATACATGCACCCCAGTGCATGAATTCTACCCCCGACTTAGAGTAGAATTCTAGATTCATAAACATTTTCTTTTAGCATGGTGAAGGCATTGCCCCATTGCCTTCTAGTTTCCAGTACTGCAGCTGGAAAATTGAAAGCCATTTACATCTTCATTTTTTTATGTGAATTTTTATCTTCCTCTCTGGGGAATTTAGATTCTTTTTTTTTTTTTTTTTTGGTCTTTGATGTTCTAAAATTTCACAATGAACTGTCTTGGTAGGTTTATCTTCATCCTTTGTACTGAGTCCATTCAATTCCAAACTGCTTGTCTATCAGTTCTGAAAAATGTTCCTGAATTATTTCCTGGGTGAGTTCTTTTCTTCTGCTTTCTATATGCTCTCTTTCTTGAATTACTATTATTTGGATATCGAACCTCCCTGGACTGTTTCTCTAATTATCTTGTATTGTCTCGTCTCTCCTATTTTATGTTTTTTATTCTCTACTTGCTGGGAGATCTTTTCTAGGTTGTTTTTCTCTGTTTTTATTGTCTCTGTCAACTATATTAGAGGTTTTCCTCAGATGTCTTATAATCCTTGGCTGTCTGCCTATATTTAAGATCCGAGTCACTAAAAGCTGATTTGGAATCTAATTATCTACGTAGAGGTTTTTTGTTTGTTTGTTTGTTTTTTTGCTGCAGGGTATCTGGCTGCACCTTTCATCTGAGGAATCTCTGACATAGTCTCTTATGAATTTTTTTTTCCTTGAGATTGGTCAGATTCTCCGAAAAAAAATCTAACTGGCTTTTTTTCTAGAGAGTCAAGACCTAAATGCCATTATTCCAGGTGCTAAGTTAGGGGAAAAGGCTGGGGATGCAAATACAGCATATCTGCTATCTAGAATGCTCTGCTCCTCTTCTTTGCCGAGCAAACTTCTACTCCTGTGCGAAGTCTTAGTTCAGACTTCACTTCTGAGGATCAGTCTTCCTTAATTCCTTTAAAATCAATTAGGTCCCAATGCTATGTTCTGTATTCTCATAGCACATTGTAGCTTTCCTCTGTGGCACTTACATTTTATTTGTTGAATTCTTTGATTAGTAACTGCCTCCCTCACTAAACCATAAGTTTCAGGAGACCAGAGACTGTTTTGCTTGGCAGAGCCCAGTGCATAGTACATATTGGGTGTTGATTGTTAAAAATTTATTGAATGTTCAATTGACAACAAGTTCTAGCACTAGGGAAAAGAGTGCAGTTGAACCAGAGCAATTTCATGATCATTACCAGTAAAATCATGCTCAGTTGTACACATTGCTTCTTTCCCATATGAAGAGAGTATGTCAGGAAGGAGGGAGAAGTCAGAAGTGTTAAATACTACGGAGAGATCCAGTAAGTTGAGAGTTAAACAGCTGCTATTGGATTTAGTGACATGGATGGAACTGAAGATTATACCAATGAGTTGAGCGACGGATGCAGAAGTCAGAGTGGGGGGGATTGAGAACTAAAAAGGAGGGTGTCTGAAAGTGTGAACAAGCCTTTTAAGGAGTATTTGTGAAGAGGAGATGAGAAGGTAGATGAAGAGGAAAATGGGTTTGAACTTATTTTTTTTTTAGATTTTAGATGATAGAAACCTGAGCATTTAAAAAACTGATGGAAAAATCCACCAGTAGGGCAGACATTGAAGACAAAGAAGACAGTAGGGATAATTTTTGGTGTGAGGATTCTGAGAAGTTTGGGAAATGAGATCCAGAGCAGGTAAAAGGATTGACTTTGGAGAGGAGAACCTCTGTTCTATCGTAGCCAGAGGCAGAGAAGGAGAGAATGAGAGTTGATGTGTGTGGTGGGAAGGCTTTAAGGAAGCTTCCCTTTGAAGGGCATTTTTTATGTAAAGTAAGAAGTGAAGAGAGTTGAGAGTGAAAAGAGAAGAAGTATAAAAGATCTGAGGAAAAAAGAGGTTTGAAATAATTGTTAGAGAGGAAATATTATATTTTCTATAATTATAGAGAATAATTATTATAGGGAATTATAGAGAACAGGAAAGTAAGTCAAACAGAGAAACACTGGGTTTCCGAGCAGTCTGGAGGGTCCAATTGAGTTTTGATGTTTGCCTTTATGATGCTACTAGTCTTGCACAGGTGGCACAGGTGGTTTTTGTCACACAGCACTCAGCTGCTTGGGTGCAGGCACTGAGACAGCAGATAATTGGGCTCACGCAGGTTTAGGGTCACTCATAATGGCCCCAGATAGATGCTATGAAGAGATGAAGGGAATTTAAAGTTCCAGCAAAAGAGTTATTAAAATGATAAAATATGGAACTAAGCTGGATAGAGAAGGAGAGAAGAAAGGAACATTTAATGGACAAAGAGAACACAGAGAGGGATCTGATGGAGTCCAAGAATTGTTATAGTGGACACTGAACAAGCAAGATGCAAAGACAGAAGATTGTGGGCAGAGAATTGGATATGTGAATCAGTGATTTCTGGAGACAGATAAATTTCAGATAACGACTCAGTCCAGGTATGACTGTGGGTTGGAGTCATCAAGTCAGAGTAGGAGAAAGTCACTGAAGTGAATGAGATTCAGAAACGGGGAGACCAGGAGATTGGGTGGGTCATTCATGTGGTATTAAAGACCCCCAAAATAATGTCAGGAATTTTTGAGGTGAGGAGTAATGTGAGTTAGGTGCTAAAATCTTAAGAAACAGATGGGAAGATAATTATATTCGGGAAGGAGATTAGGTGGTATAGCTGAAAAAGCAAAGCCCTAAAGAAGTAGGGGTGTTCTTTTTATTTATCTTTCCACGAGAATTAGGGAGTAATTGGAAGGAGCAATGGGGAGTCAGATATATGAAAAAGAACACCCAGCTATATACCACAGGCCAGAGTTAAGCATCCCACATCCGTTGTTTGAGCTTGGAACACAGCAAAGCTAGTTTGGTTGCCATGGTGACCAACGCCATGTCTCCGGGCTCATTAATCCTCTATTCCAAACTAAGCACTTAGCAATAGCTTCTGAATAAATGCAACAAAGCTCTGCATACTGAAAAGGGCACATTCATGTTAAGCAGAGGAAAAGGGTTTTCAATTTCATTCATTAAACTTGAGTAAATAATTTAATATCTTTGTGCGTCAGTCCTCCTAGCTAATGAATAAGGATAAATGCTTAATGGAAAATCTAGCTTAATAAAGTTAACAGCATTGGCACTACATATAAAGGAAATTGATGTTGCCGGTATACATGCATATGAAGGGGAAAACTGAAAGGAAAATAATATATATTAAGCATCTATGATGTGGCTATGTCAGGTACTTGAAAATAAAATGTTTCATTTAATCCTTGCAACAACCATGTGAGGTTGCACATTATTCTCCTTATTTAAAAAATGAGGAATCGGAGACTCAGATAAGTTGAATCAGGCCTCAGTACAAAGCTTGTCAGATTCAAGCAGATCAAATTTTATTTGTTTTGGGTCCGTGATGCTCCCACTGTGTCTTGCTGGAAATTGAATAATGCTTATCCTTCTGGGACATTTGGCTAATTAAAAAATTAGGAGAAAAGACTGTGCTAAGGTGACACTTAATATCTAAAAGAGAAGCTTAAATGCTATATCAGAATCCTATTAGCTTAAAAAATTAACTATCCTAAGATTTTTTAAAGGCTTTTCTTAAAAAAAAAATGAGAAGGCAGCTGGGTATATTAGAAGTGTGTTTAATGAAAAGATATGAAAAACTGTCGATGTTTCTTCCGAAATGAGTCCCATCAAGGCAATCGTTTATCCCCATTCTGTCGTTTTCTAACATGAAGAATTGGAGTTGCAAAGCACACTCTCAACACAGAAACTGATCCTTTCCTTTTAAGTATCATGCCTTTATTTTGGTTTCTGGATTTGCTCCAACAAGGGTGTAGATAAGTGATTGAAAAAGATATATTGAAAATCCATTAATTCATTTTCCTTAAAATTAAACTCTTTAATTAAAAACAACACTTTGATCAATTTCTAATTTCTACCTCCAACAATGTAATATAGCAAGGGTTAAAATAATAGAAATAACTAGGCGTATGTTAAATATCCCTGTCACTAAACTTAGATGTTAGCATTTTTCTTTTTTTCTCCAAACACTAATTGTTTTGGTCTCACCTATACGACAATTTTAGGTCAATTTTCTCAAGTTTGGGTTGCTTACTGCAGCCAGGTGATTCCCAAGTGCTTCAGAGGAAAAGTAGTAATCACAGCCTTCTTTCCCACCTGTTAGCATTACAGGTTTCCTTCTCTGACCCACTCTCTTTAAATTCTACAATCAAAAACCATATGTGTCTTCTGTTTTGAGTTTTCAGTCTGGATGTGTTATCTTTGTTTTATAACTGGAAGCATCTGAAACCGGAAATTGAAGGATGAAGTTTCCTTAGGCCTGTACTTCTTTATTTATTTTCTATCAGCACTTTAATTTGTTTCTTACTTAGGGGAGCCTGGAGCTTATTATCCTCTGAACATTTTAAATACCCATTTAGCAAAAGATATCAGACTTACAAACAGAAATGCAAGTGTTTTCTTTGTCATCTCTGTAAGTAATAACTTATGGAACATAATATAAACAATTTTAGAAGGTTTTTCCATTAAGCTAACCAAGAAAACATACAAATAGGGGAAATGATGAAAGCTCAGAATTGGATGCTAAGAATCAAGCACATGCCAGCTTCTTGAAGTTTTTACTAATTAGAAAGCTAATGGGGACAGAATAACGGTGGACCCCTCTCTTTTCCAAGACAAAACATTTTGTTGACAGCCCGCCCCTACCGAGAGCCACCAAGAAGTGAACGCTGCAGGGAAGGCCCAGTTAGGGAGTCCCCTGAAAGCAAATCACTCCAGCCCCCTTTTCTTTGTTTTCTTGCGGCCTCAGAATTCTGGCAGCCCTCAGCAACACTCTTGAATTAAGAGGGCCACACCAACCAAAGACCTGGGTGGTAAGAGTAGGAAGTACGTGCACTTCTCGCAAGCATAGTTGAATTAACCTGGGTGGGGGCAGGAGGAAGAGCCGTGAAGAAAGATCGGCTTGGACTTAATAATTAATAATAACCCTGTAATCACAGCTACTTGGGAGGCTGAGGCAGGAGAATCTCTTGAACCTGGGAGGCCGAGGGTGCGGTGAGCCGAGATTGCGCCATTGCACTCCAGCCTGGGCAACAAGAGCAAAACTCCGTCTCAAAAAAAAAAAATAAATAAATAAAAATAACAACAGCTGGATATGGCATTTATTTTGCATGCTTGGCACTTTGTCTATGCTTTCACTAATCCTCACAACTATCCTATGAGGTTAAGATTTGCAGATTAAAACACTGAGCTTGAGACAAATTGCTTAATAGTGAAATCAGGTTTTGACTGCAGTGACCTCAATACAGAGCTCTCGTTTTGTCCACTAGGTGGTGCTGCCTTCCCTTTGCTACTTTAGAGTCCTGCCGCTAATGTAAATTAGTCTCGGGACTGCCTTGGGTGACTTTGCTGTTTTTGCCTTATTCTGTGGATCTCATCTCCACTGTAGACTGTATATGTCAGTCAGCAAACCTGCCACTCCCTCAGCTTCTTCTATAACTGCCTTGCTCCCAGCCCCTGATGAAGGGGAAGCACAGGTTGCTATCTTCTGTAACACTTGATCCTCCCATGCTGTAGCCTATTAGACCAGGGGTGGTGTTCAACCAAGGGCTGGCCAGGAGGCTCGAACATGGCTTGATATGAAAAGAGGAACTCAAGGACAGTGCTTAAAAGTGAAGGTTCTGGAGTAAGACGGACTCGGTTCAGACCTTGACTATTCCATTCATGAGGGCAAAATTTAACTTCTTTGAATCTTAGCCCTCACCTACCAAATGGGGCTACGGATAATTCAAGTTGATTCTAGGGAACTCCAGCAAGGCTTTATGGATTATGTAAGGCTCTTTTCCCCCATCCCTGGACCTGTGAAAGTATCTTTATGTTGTCTAGAAATGCGTTTCCCAAAGTCCACTGTATTAAGCAATGATGCTGGAGCTGTTAATAGGTGTTTCAAAAAGAGAATTCCTTGGAAAAATAAGTCCTGGAAAATCCATGTTAAACTGGACAGATTTCCTCAATATAAACTTCTCAGAATCTTTCATGTGCTAATGTGAATTGTAAAGATACAAAGGTACATAAAATCTACACATTTATTTAACCACAGAGCTTTTATTTTTAATCCATCTTGCAATACTAATATGCCACAGAGCAGACTTTGGGTAATGCTGGCTTAGAAGAATGAAATTAGGGCCTATAGCTAGAAGGGGAACTCACATTTGGTGCAGCAAGAACTCCATTTAGCCCTGTGTACGTCAGTCTTCTTTCCAGCTTCTCTTCTGAGGGCAGATTCTATCAGTGCGTTAGGAAGAAAAACGACCCTCCAAAGATGTCTAAGTCCTCATCCTTGGGGCCTGTGATTACATGTTACTTGATATGGCAAAAAAAGCACTTTGCAGATGTGATTAAATTAAGAACTTTGAGATGAGGAGATTATCTTGGATTATCCATGTTGGTCATGTCTCTTTAAAATCAGGGACCTTTTTTGGCTATAGTTAGAGGAAATGTGGCTATAGAAGGAAGGTCAGAGAGATAGGATGTATAAGAGATTCTACCCACCATTGTTAGCTTTGAAGATGGAGGAAGGAGGCCATGGTCACGAAATGTGGGAAGCCTCTAGAAGCTGGAAAAGGTAAGGAAATGGACTCTTCTATACATTCTGGTTGACTTCAATCTTAGCCCACTGTCAGGGTTTTTTTTGTTTTTTGTTTGTTTTTTTTTTTTTTTTTTTTTAGAAATCGAGCCAATAGAATGTGTGTGTGTGTGTGTGTGTGTGTGTGTGTGTGTGTGTTCAGAGACAGGGAATGGAATGATTTATTTTAAGGAATTGGCTCATGCAATGTGGAGGTGCAAGTCTGAAATCTGGAGGGAAGGCCAGTAGGCTGGAGACCTAGGGAATAGATACAGTCTGTTGCCAGAGCCCTTCCTTGCTTGTGGGAGGTTAGTCTTCGTTCTATGAAGACTTTCAATGGAGTGGATGAAGCCCACCCACATTAAGGAGAACAATCTGTTTTTAACTCAAAGTTTGCTGATTTACATGTGAATCTCATCTAGAAAAACAACATCACAGAAACATCCAGAATATTGTTTGACCAAATAGCTAAGCAGCATGGCCCAGCCAAGTTGTTACATAAAATTAACCATTACCTCCACTGAGACTTGTGTCAGACTTCTGACCTGCATAACTGTAAATAATCAATTTGTGTTGTTTTCAGCTGCCCAGTTTGTGGTAACTTGTGACAGCAGCAATAAGAAGCTAGGACTCTCACCTACCCACCCTAGGCATCCTAGGCATTACTATCTGCTATAATGTAAGTGATTTCCTTTTGAGGAATTGGTCATCTGTCTGTCAATTCTGGTCCATTTCTCTAATTCTGCCATCATCCACGAAGGATTTCGATGCTGGCATAAATTACCAGTCCAAAATCACCCTCACAACTCCTGGACCTCCACAATTCTAACAATCTGCATTTCACTCCAGGTCAGCTGTGCACTCACATGATCTCATCCTTGGTCCTTTATGGCTCTCCAGTATTTTCGCTTCTTATCTTTCCATCATTCTCTCTCAGTTACACTGCACCAATTCTTTAATGTCTTCATGACTCCAGTTCCTTGCCCCTTTTTGAATACAGGTCTCTCACCCTCTCTTAACGTCATTTCTTTCTCTACTCAGTCTGGGCTTCCTTGTTGATTACTTGAATTTCTGTCTCACCGACACTATAACTTTGCCACAGTACAATCCTTCTAGATTAGCACAGACCATATACACCTCTAATACACCATTCCCTGCCTACTATTAAATCATCTATAAAAATACAGAAAAACTTACCAAAGCCCTTTAGCAATAGCTATGTAAACTAAATATATGAACAAACTATAAACCAAAGAATGGTGAAATTTCTATTAATTACATCATAAAAATGAATGAATTTGGATGTCCCTCTTAAACAAAATGGACAGACAACCCCTCCAAGAGTTAGAGGAAGAGGTTGACTGACATGTTCAGTGTCTGGCTTCAGGGTACACAAATTCTCCCTCCCTTTAAATTCATCATTCTGACAGGCATGCAACCTATCAGGTATTTGAAAAGATAGTCTCAGATGATTAGTCACTACCTGTCTTACCCATTTCTCAGTGATGAAGATGGTACAAAGAAGCGCAACCTGGAGTCCATGAAAATATTCTGGCCCAGCATAGAGGGAGCCTTACCCTGACTACACACGGGAAGATAATTCTGAAATGGCCTTTCTGCAAGAAACAGACAAAAATTGTGAAGTCTTTTGCTTAATTCCATCCAAAGTGTGAAGGGGACTTGGTCTTTATGAGACCTAAGGAGATGATGGACTGAGATAAAGGCAGAAATGCAAAGGGAGCTGGAGAAAAAACTTCCCTCTTCAATTCACCTAAGGGGCTGTTCTAAACCTTTATGTAGCCATAGCTCTAGTTTCACCAGCTGGTGACGTAGACAGTATGACACCTAGGCATCCCTGTGTTTAACAACTGTGGTCCTCCACACACTGTGTTAGCAGGGAATCTTGTTTCTTCAAGGTACTCCTTCCTCATATGAATTCCCAGCAGAGACAACCTCTGTCCAAGCAATTGTTTTTCTTTCTTTCTTTCTCTTTCTCTTTCTTTCTTTCTTTCTTTCTTTCTTTCTTTCTTTCTTTCTTTCTTTCTTTCTTTCTTTCTTTTTCTTTCTTTCTTTCTTTCCTTCTTTCTTTCTTTCTCTTTCTTTCTTTCTTTCTTTCTTTCTTTCTTTCTTTCTTTCTTTCTTTCTTCCTTCCTTCCTTCCTTTCTTTCTTTCTTTCTTTTTCTTTCTTTCTTTTCTTTCTTTCTTTTCTTTTCTTTTTTTTCTTTTCTTTTCTTTTTCCTTTCTCTCTCTCTTTTTTTTTTAAGACAGAGTCTCATTCTGTCGCTAGGTTGGAGTGCAGTGATGTGATCTCTGCTCACTGCAACCTCTGCATCCCGTGTTCAAGTGATTCTCTTGCCTCAGCCTCCAGAGTAGCTGGGATTATAGGCATGTGCCACCAAGCCCAGCTAATTTTTGTGTTTTTCATAGAGACGGGGTTTCCCCATGTTGACCAGGATGGTCTCAATCTCTTGACCTTGTGATCCCCCCGACCTTGGCCTCCCAAAGTGCTGGGACTACAGGCGTGAGCCACTGCGCCCAGCTGCAGTTGCTCTTTCTGTAAGGCACTGGTTGTAGAATAAACCCTGGTATTCCCCCTGGACTAAAGGACTCCTTACTTATTATCAAAGATGCTGGCTGCTCCAGAGATGGGCACCATCACCCTTGCTTTTGCTGCTGTTGCTGCCACTCAAAAAAGTAGGCTCACTGTTGCTTGACAAATTCCTTCTCATACAATTGGCTTCTAATAACCCAAAGCCCCATTGGTACCACTCTCCTTCATGCCATGTTATCTCCCTGTTTCACTCCAGTCCTGCCTCCATGAGCCAGGGCCATTCACCTCTACCCCTAGGGCTGGTCCAGGCCTCCTCTTGCCTTTGAGTCCAGAACAGACAGAATTTTGTCCCTGAGTGGAGGAAGAAGTCCTTATCACTTTATCCAAACTTGTATCTTCTAAAAAAATCAGTCTTCCTCAGGGTTAACCTCTTTTTCAGTTGAATGATAATAGCAGCATTAATTTCCTTCAACGAAAACACCTTTCTGACCATAATATATGGTCTGATTTCATGAGCCCAACAGATTAGTGCAAAATAATACAGTAATGGTACATATTCCAAAGTCTGAGTTATTCAGTCTTATCTATGGTTACTTTGCAAAATTTTAATCAATGGTTTTTTGGAATTAAAAAGATAAAAAATAAAATAAATACAGGGTGACTGAGCTCAGTGTCTGCATCTTGGTTATTCTCCAATAGCATGTCTAGAAAGATATCCTTTCTTTAAGGTTGAGTAAGTTAAAAATAAACAAAATGATAAATAAACATGGGTTCAATGAAAAAAATGTGTCTCCCAAAGGATGAGAAGCAATATTCTGTGGAGTTGGCAGATAAGCTTTGATATGAAAAAGATTTGCTTCAGGAGACAGGGGAAATAGTTTGTGATATTTGCTTCCTGTTTTCAATATGGCTTAAAAAATACGAGTAGCTGTTAAAGAAGAAGAAACTTGTCATGAGAGCAGACCAAGTGTCAAAAAGTTTGGTTTAATAAGCATTTATAAAGCCGAGCTGTTTTCCTATTCCTTCACTGGTCTTTGTTCAGTCTTATTTGCTGGATCTGCTACTCTTTTCTGTGTTTAAATATTTGCATGTCCTAGGGCTCAGTCTAAGAGGCCCTTTTCTCCATCTGAACTCAAACCTGTGTGATCCCATCTGCTTCTGTGACTTCAAATGTCATCAAATGGTGTTCACTTTCAGCTTGGTATCTCTAGCTTGAGCCTCTGCTCTGAACTCCAGACTCATCTATCCAACTATATATAATCTGTCTCCACTGGATGTTTAGTTATCCTCTCAAGCTTTCCATGTCCAGAAAGAAAGTGTTTCCTATCCCTGTGTTAATGATCATTTGCATGGTTTGTTCTTGTAGAAATGTCTGTTTATATACTTTATCCATTTTTAAATTGGGTTATTTGGCTTTTTCTATTGAGTTGTAATAGTTCTATTTTTTTTGTTGTTATTGTTGGAGACAGGTTCTCACTCTGTTGCCCAGGCTGAGGTGCAGTGGAGCCATCATAGCTCACTGTAACCTCAAATTCCTGGGCTCAGGCAATCCTCCTGCCTCAGACTCCCCAAATGCTGGGACTACAGACGTTAGCCACCATGCCAGGTCTAGTTTTAATAGTTCTTTATGTATTCTAGACACGAGTCTTTTATCATATATATGATGATAGAATTTGGGGACCTGTCTGTTCACAGATAAAGAGAAAATAGTAGTTTTGATTTCTCCAGGAAGTTATGTATAATAGGAAGTGCAAGGAGCAAATGATGATGCCCAAAGTGAGGCAAAAATTTAGGGAGTGAGAAGAAAGGAAATCACAGAAAAATCATCACAGACTTTGTTTTCAGAGAGGGAGAAGAAAGCACACCCAAGGAAACTGAAAAAAAAAAAGAATTTCAAGAAATGAGTCATCAATACCATTAGATATAGTAGAGAGGTGTGGTAACTGGAAGGTTGAAAAATGTAGATAATCAATTACAGGCCACTAGTGATCTTCGTCTGAGCAGTTCCAGTGGAGTGTGGGGACAGAGGCAAGGTTTGATGGACTGAGGAGTGTATCGGTGGTGAGACAGTGGATGTGGAAAACAGAGACCACCCTTTCAAGGAGTTCAAACAAAAAGCAATAGAAAGAAATTGGAGGTTAGCTAAAAGGGAGAAAAGAGTTGCAAAAGCTTAAGTATGCTTAGAAAATGAGGGCAAAGAGTCCATGGGAATGGAGATGTTGGGTAAATAATAGAGATAAATTACTTGTGGAGCAATGTTCTACTGCTGGGTGTATGATCAATTGCAAAGAGGAAGGTGTTGGTCTTAAATTGGAGGAGAGACCCTACTTCCCCTAAAAGGATAGAGAGAAGGTAAAGATGCTGAATTAGTCAGCATTTCTGTTTGTTTTACCAAAACCCACAGAAACTCAATTCAGCAATGGTAGAAATAACTAGTTTTCACCAATATCTTGTTCTCTTCCACTCCAGGCTCATGGAAGACCACGCTTTCTAGTCCACTTGAAGTTCAGCAGGCATATGACTCTTCTAGCTAATGACATATGAACAAAAGAAATAAGAGTGGCTTCCAGGCTTAGACAATGAAAAGTCCATGAGGAATTTTTAAAGTCTTCTTCTCCCCATGATATTGTGATAGTGGGGCAAGCCTCAGGTAGAGATGGCGAAGCCATAAGACCAAGGCAGCTTGGAGCCCTGAGAAATCAAATGGAGGGCCTTGATTCTGAATTGCCCCTTGGAACTGCAGTGCACTATGTGACAGTGAGAAATAACCTTCTGTTGCTCTAAGCCACTGAAATATGAGTGTCTTTACAACAGCATAATTAAGTTTATTCTGACTAAATCCTAACCTAAGGAAAAAAATTAGACTATATTGGCACTCAAGAAAGAGTTGAATGACCTAGATACCTAGATAAGGGTAAGATAGAGATTAAACTGGGTAACTGGAACCACTAACTCAAACTGAGTCCAACAAGATGATGTACAAATCTTTAACAGGGATTCCACTGCAGGAACGACCAATGAGATTTTTTATCATTGCCACACAATTTGACCCAGAAGGTTTAGAATTGTAAGTGCAAGTGTGTTGGATGGGCCATCCACAAAGGTTTTGCAGGGTGACTTCAGGACAGAGATAAAAGGAAGACTTGAGCCAGACACCTGTGCCTTCAGGGAAAATGGGAGAGTCACTGGGAGTTAGTAAGATTATAGATAAGAAGAAATAAAGAGTAATTTCACGGGATGACATAAATCTTAAAGAATGAGGTGCACAGGTGAGGAATTAATGGTTCTTGTTGCTCTAGAAGAAGGTAGTTCTCAACCCCAGACTCTAGAGAATGTGAGTGTTAGATAAATGAGAACTGAAAGGAAATGGTACTTCATTTAAGATTTCATTTGAGACAAGACTATGGAAGACACAAGAGAATATATTTGCCATAGAATGTAGACTGAAAGGGCAAAATTGAAACTAGAAAAAAGCAACCAACTGAAAATATGCTTTGGCGACAGTTCATGACATACTCGACACTGTACAAAATTGCATCCTTGACAAAGAAGCAGACTTGAGAAATAATTCCAGAACATGCAGAAAATGAAAAGCCCTGAATAGAATAAAAGGGATCTAACCTTTGAATAATAGATGTTTCTAAATAATTCGTGCTGTGAGAAGTAAGCGAGACAATATATGTAAAACTCTTAGTGAGTGCTCAAAAAAGAGCAGACACAATTAATATTTTCATAAAAGAATGCATGACAAATGTGCTGTTCTTTATCTGCACAGAAGCCTATACCAGCCCAGCAGTGTTTTGTACTGAGGCAGGTGCAGGTCAAGGTGATGAGAGCAAGTGTAAACCAACATGGATCAAACATCTCAGATAAAATAAACAACTAATGAGGATTCTGGACTTCTACCTGAAGTTATAGTAAATGGAACCGAATTCCTTCTCAAATCCTTACGAATAAACCATGATAATATTTTCTCCATGGTCTTTCTGACCTGTCTTAATACCTTTTCTAAGAAAAGTGTAATTTTTTAAGGTGATGTTAAAAAGGCAGCCATTAGTGATTTACTATGTTTTAAGTCATGCATTTGAGGACTGGAGTTAAAAATTTTGAGAGGGGATTTTTTTTTTCATTGACTTTAACTCACTTGATAATTGGTGGGTGGTGAATATTTTAAGCAAAAATGGTTTTATAGTTTTTAATACATAAAGAGATGTTTTCTTTTTGAATATGAACAATGTTTCAAAACAGAGTAGAATAAAAAAAATCTTCATCTAAAAAACATGCCTTGTTTGGAGATGAAATGGGTAGGTTCAGTTTGGTAAAATTAACAAAAACATCTAAGCCCAGAAAAACCTTTAATAAAATATTAAATTTCAGTGCTGGGGCATTATATTCAATGATATGCTATATCCCTGAGTCAAGGAATAATTTGAATTCTGAATTTTGAAAGTGTCCCCCCAACAGGGGCACATGTGCCTCTGACACGGTGGTGGGTACTGCACTGCAGAATCTTTAAGGAAGTTACGGACAAAGGGAGCAGAAACAAAATATACCATTAACAGCTGTTCAGCTGATCTCTCCAACTCTTCCAGCCAACTAAGAGACTGAACAAAGTGAAAACAATTAACACTCTGTCTACAAACTCAGGTTTATTGGAAAGTATACAAACAAGCTCAACTGGTGGAAGAATAAAAAAATAATGCTCTGTTGTTTCAGATCTCATAGAAGGCTTGGCTAAAAATGTGCCCATCAAAAGTAAATAAGTTGAGAGGGTATTCTGGAACCATAGTGACTGAATACAGAGTATTGCCCATTCTTTTCCAATCCCTACTTCTACACCTTTATCTTAGAAGCTTATTATTTAGCTTTTCATTTGCTTTTAATTTATCTGAAATTAAACACACACTCCCACTCCCCACCCCCCATCCCCATCCACACACACTAGAGATGAAATCTGTGCTTTTACAACATTGTTAGTCTTTGGTTCCAATACCTTTATTAATAGTCCATTCTTTATCCACTGCCACACCTGTCATTACAGATGCTTTCTGTAGGTAGGTCTGTTTCTAGGCTTTACGTTCTATTTCATTGGTCCAGTTTTCTCTTTATGCATCAACACCACATTATTTTAATTAGTTTGCTTTGATATTTGGTGGGGTAAGTACCCCTTATTCACTGTCTTTTCTTTCCATCTTATTCTTTTTTAATTTTAAGAAAATTTCTTTCTCATTCTTTTTACTTCACTTTTCCAAAATTGATTTATTTTTGCTCTTTACTCTGCAAATTTTGTGGGGAAAAATGTTTGAATTGCATTGAATTTATAGATTAATTCTGAAAGAATTGCCATCTTTACAATAATGAGTCTTTCTATTTATGAACATAGTAAAACTTTCCATTTATTGAGTCTTTTGCCTTCAATAAAAATTTTATCATTTCCTTCATAGTAGATCTTTATATATTCTGATTATGTTTTCAATACATAAAGAAATGTTTCCTTTTTGAATATGACCTTTATTATGAAAAATAAATAAGAAAAGCCCAACCCAATGAAAAATGGGCAGAAGCTATGAAGAGACAATTCTTACAAGTGAGATTCTGTGGCCTGTAAACATATGAGAATACACTTTACTGGTAATCAGGAGAATGCAAATTAAATCAAAATACCATTTAATTGGCAAACACTAAGAAGTTTGAGAGTATCAAATGTTGGAAATGATTTTGAACCTTTAAACTCTACTGATGGACATATACATTGATATATACACTGATGAATATAATTTAATATGGTTGAAAATGTTCATACATTACTTCCCAGTAATTCTATTTCTTCCTCTCAAGTAACTACTGCACAGTTTGAAAGATATTTACTATTGGGAAAAAGCTAAAACAACTTTACCATCCTTCATAAAGGAATAGCTAAACTGTGGTTTATACAAGGTAATTCTGTTCAGCAGTTGAAATTAAAAAAAAAAAAACAGTTCTCTATTCAAAGACATGTTGTGATGGATAAAAACAGGTTGCAAAAGTGAGATACAATGTACGTAGTTTTTTAAAACACAAAATAATAGTATATTTTTTAAATGGATACACATATAAATAGTAAAAAGAACAAAAATTTACCAAGCAATGATAAGCATCAATTTTAGAACAGTAGTTACCTCTGTGGAGGAAAAAATTATGGGAGAAAGAAGAAAGAAAAGGGCTAGGGTTTTCTGTAAAACTCGTAGGACAGAAGAAAACTAAAGCAAATATGGTAATAATTAAATTCAGTCAAATATGGGTATGGTGTACAGGTGTCAATATTTTCTGGAATTTTCTCTATGTTTGACTATTTCATAATTCATTAAAGTCTTAGATTTGGTGCTGATGTAATAATAGATATTTAGATGCAGTAACACAACAGAGTTCTCTCTTTTATATATAAACACAAAATAATTTTGAGTTTTTAAATAACTATAGCATTTTAAATAACTACAGCTGCATTTCTAGAAATGCAGCTATGGTATAAATCAAGGAGAGGCTGAACTTTGATTTATTAGAACTTTACCAATAATTTTTTTTATTTTGGAATACCATTCATGATGGCAATGATGCTCGTGGTGTTTGAATTACAATATAAAACACCTCTATCAGTTCGAATATGTAGCTGTTCAAATTCTACACATGGGCTTAAGCAAATAATATTTCATTATATCATTTAGGATAATCTTTCCTAAATATTAACATATTGAATTTCACACTACATCACTGTAGTTTATTTATATTATTTGTAACCATCATAAATTTGCCTCTACATGTTAGGCAGGGCATTGTATTTATTTTTAAAAGATTATGTGTAGATGATACTCTCTATGGCTTACACTGCAGCATAGGAAGTGTCTGGAAGGGTTGGGAAGCACTTATCTGTGTTGGTCCTCCCGTTTAGTACCAGTCTCTTTCCACACAAAGGCTTTTCAAGAAATCAAGACCATCAGGACAGGAAGGGGTCTCCATCTTCTCTGCTGAAATTCTTATCTTATCTGTCCTGTTCATCCCATTCTCAGTGCACACAAACCAGTGTTTCTTTTGCCCACAGATGAAATCTGAAAATTCCCTCTTCTTTATCATGCAGAGAAAATTTAATTTTTTATCTCTCTCATTTACTATAATTCTAGACTAGTTCTGGAGACCCTCTTGCATAAATTAAAAGGTTCATGAAGGAACTTCTCCCATTAAAAGTCACTTTACCCCAGAAACAATGTACTCTGCCCACTTAGAATGAAAACTGCTACAAATTTTATAGGGTATAGTTTATAGAAATGTAAAGAAAACTTTTTAGAGAAACAGACTGTATGTCTGCATGGAAGGACTCCATACTGTAAGAATGTCAATTCTTCCTAAATTGATATGTACACCAAAATAAAATCCAGACGAATCAAATTTTAAACATTTTTTTAACATTTATAAAAACTAGATTATAATTAATCAAGATTGTTATGCAACTTCTGAAAGGAGTAGGACATTCTGGTACAAAGGAAAAGGCAAGGGAAAACTTGACAATCGAAAGTCAACATCACTGTGTTTAGGAAAAATCAAACTGGTTACAACGTTTATAGCAATTATGATAGCATAAGCTTATATCTTGATGAAGAGCTCATAAAAGTGCAAACAAAGCCGAACGATTTCACCTAATAAAGAGACAATGAACTAAATTTGGACAATTAACTAAAAAAGAAATACCATTAGTTAATAATTACAGAGAAAGTGTCTAAACTCTAATAATCAAATGAATTCGGATTTTAAAAAATAAGAATTTTTGCAAGAATTTCTCTTTAAGTGTGTAATATACTGCTTAGTGAGGTAATTAGTCTTATGCATCACAGAGAGAGATAAAAATATAACTTTTGGTAGTTATTAATAAAGACTCTTAACATAGTTCAAATGTTTCAGCTTAATAATTCTATTTTGGGGGAATTTATTCCAAGGAAATAATCCTAAAATTTACATACAAAATTATTAATTGTAGCATTAATTTTAAGATCAAAATTTTGGAAAAAATCAGCACAGTAGGGTAAACTTACTCTAAGGAGTATGTAGTTATTTTAAATTATGTTTAAAATGACTATATAATTACATGGAAATGCTTATAAGAGTAATATAAAAGCATTGTTGGTCAGTAAAAATATTAACGTGTCTAACTTCATTGGTAATTAGGGAAACCATTCAAATGCAATGAGATATCACTCTGCAACCAAGAAATTGGCTAAAATTAAATAGACGGAAAATACCAATGTTGATAAGGATGTAATACAATGAGAAACCCTCACCCATGGCTTATCGGAGTGTAAGCTGGTACAACTGCTTATTTGACAGTACTTAATGAAGTTGAAGATATGCATACCCAGTGACCCAGCAATTCCACTCATAGATGTAGAGCCCAGAGAAATCCCTGCACGTGAGCACCAGAGTACAAGAATGTGCAAGAATGCCCATGGCATCAGTGCTTGGGATAGCCTGACACGGGCAATGCCCATCTACAGTTGAATGGATAAATTGTGGATTACTCGTGCTAAAAGACAGACATAATAAAATGAACAAATGAGAACTAAACAGCACAAGACAGATTATTTTCACCAATACAATATTGAGTGAAAGAAGCAAGTCAAAAGAATTTGTGTTTATGATTCCATTTATTCAAAGTTCAAAAATTGGAAAATGGAAGGATTTTCTGGGGCTAAGAGTGTCTAATTTCTTGACCAAGGATGTGATTAGAAGGTGATGGCTTTACAATAATTAAAAAAAACTGTACATATATATTTTATATACTATGTAACGTATGTTATGTGTTATGGGTCGAATTGTGCGCCACCCCCCAAAACACACACACACAAAGATACGTTCAAGTTCCAACCTCCAATACCTCAGCACGTGAATTTATTTGGAAATAAGGTTGCTGCAGATGTAATTACTTAAGTTATGTTAAAATCATACTAGAGTAAGGTTGTTCCCTATTGCAGTATGACTGGTGTTCTTATAAGATGACCATGTGGAGACACAAATGAGACAGCCAAGTATAATCGGGTCCCCAGAGACCCTCTAACCAGCCTGTGCACTGGGAGAATGGGATGGAGCTATGGAAGTTCCTGCCGTTTGCAGTGGGGAGCAGCCTGGCCTCTCCTTTTCCTGGGTGGTAACCTGGGATCCAGTCTGTAAGATGGGGGCCTGTTAACAGGAACCCCTCTTACTTTGCTGAGAGTCTTTTTCCTTTTTGCCAAATAAATTCTGTAACCACTCACCCTTCAAAGTGTCTGCGTGCCTAAATTAACCTGGTCATGTGACAAGAACCCAGATTTTCCTGCAACACAGAGACACAGAGAAAATGCCATGTGAAGGTGAAGGCAGAGACTAGAGTGATAGGTCTACAAGCCAAGAACTTCCAGCCATCACCAGAAGGTAGGAGAGAGGTCTGAGGCAGATTCTCCTCCAAAGTCTCTGGAAGAAACCAACCCTAGACACTTTAATTTTGGACTTCCAGTCTCCAGAGGTGTGGGAGAATAAATTTCAGTTGTTTTAAGCTACCCAGTGTGTGGTATTTTGTTAGGGCAGCTCTTGGAAACTAATACATTGTATTTTCACATTAAAAATATATTTCAAAGTTCCCAGGAGTTGATGTTTCTGGTCTCTAATTTATTGAATAAATCACAAAATCTAAAATAAAAAAGTAGCCAAATAATTGTACTTTATATATTTCCTGGAAAAGTTACACTGGCGACACAATTCAAGTATAAAAATAAGGAACTCCTATTCAGAAAAGGAAACCATGTAGCATATCTAGTTGCACCAACAGGTCAAAGATCAATCGTAAATGTCCAAGTACATTAAAAAAGGATGTGGTTTGTTCCAAGTTGGCCTGTAAGAATTTCATCCTGACCCTTTGATTCTCTTCCTTACTGGAAATTCTCCAGCATCTGAAGTGACCCTGCACATGGCTTCTGGGAAGACATTCTCATTCGTTCCATTTCACTCCAGAGCAAAGACGAGCTGACCTGAAATAAGACCTGACCCAGAACTTCTCTAGGGCAGAATACTGATAAACACAGATGGCTTCATGAAAGACCATCTTTGGTTACAATTCTGCCTTCTACAAGTTAGGAATACAGTCTCAGAGTTTACAGAGCAATGTACTCTTGGGTACCTTCCTTGGGGACTGAGTTTGTATAGGATATTGAGCATGCTTGTAGGAGTTTTGGCTTTCTCAAATATGTTCCATATGATCAGGAGATGCCATAAATAAGGGCATAAAGGAACAATACATGGTAAACGGATTTTTTTTAAAGCTAACAAAATGCAATGTTATCTTTCTAGTACTTTCTGGTTTTCATATAGTAAAAGAGAGTAAACTACAGAAAAATTTTCCTTCAGAAAAGTAATATGAGGTGGAATAGAACAGTGATAAGGAATTTCGAAGCCAGTCTGTCTGTTTTCAAACCTTGGTTCAACAATGAGGAAGGGGTCCCCAGTGGGAGAGAGCCCCAGGTGGGGAAGAACAATGAACAGTTGTTCTGAGAAATGGGAAATCACAAGCAATGACTTCTTCCTGGCACAATGACCTTGTTCTGTGCGCACAATGACCTCCTTCAGCACAGCAGCTCCCCCCAGCACAACTCTATAAAACTTCGCTGCAGTTGCACCCTGCCTCTACACAGCCCCTTCTCTGCTGTGCTGCCGGTTGCAACTTTGCAACGCATTTTCATACATACTTTCTCTAATAAATCTGCCTTTCTTTACCTACAACTGTCTTGGTAAATTACTTTACCACCTGTGACACCGGCCCCAGCTAGTTGCACTCGTGACAACTAGCTGGTTGTACTTTTGGCCAATTATTAACCTCTCTGAGTACAAATTTCTTCATCCATAAAATTAGGATTAAAAACTGCACCCACTGCAAAGGATTACTTGGAAGGTTCAATGAGGCAATATATGAAAAGCATTTAGCCCAGAATGTTTCACATGGTTAAGTGCTTAATAAATACTAGTTACTAGCATAATAATAACAATAATAATAATAAGTCTGTACAGACTAATACTTGAAGTAGCTATAAAAAATTCCAGCAGCGCTGATATTAGAGTTGGCCCCCTAAGGGTCATTTGGTTCACCTCATTAAATTAGGCAGAGAAGGAAAATTTCAGCTTCTTGAGTTGACCACTCTCACATTTAACATTTCTAATTAGAAAAACAAAATTCACTTAAGTTTTCTAGTCTGTTAAATAAATGGGTTGGATTAAGTAATTCTAAGGAGCTTTCCAAGTACAAAAAATTCCTATTTCTAACATCCTTTGTCAACCATAAATAAAACATTTTGCAGTCTCTGAATCATTTTCTCTCTTTCAATGAATATTTCTACTATACCAGCTTCTGCCCCTTTTGATGAAAAATATAACCTTTAGGCTAGTTTGGTGACTAAAGTCGTGTGTGTGTGTGCATGTGTATGTGTGTGTGTGCATGCACAGGCATATGTGGTGGTGGTGGTGCTGCGTTCCAAGAAAGCCTCACAGACTTGGGCAGCCCTAATACTGCAATTTCAGTCAAAGGGATGGGAAGTTTCCATACCACTAAAGTTTACTTGCATCAAACTTTTAGGTTTATCTGCTATGAAAGAGAAGAAAAGTATTATTTTGTGGAATATTCTAAACAGTTGATTTTTAAAGAGTCAAGTGTTGTGACATAACATTTGTTTTTAATGATATTAGCAAATATCATTGTTATGTTGATTAAGAAGATTTAGTTGTAGAAATCTCTTGGTATTTCCAAATCCACCTGGGAGTAAGAAGTGAAATTCAGCAACGCTCCAGCATTCTGGCACAAATCCTTCCTTCTCCTCCCCTGGGTACCTTTGCTGGTTGTCCAGGAGATGGCACTGTTGCTTCAAGGGAATGGCTTCCACGAGGCCCAGGAAGAGAGCCTGGGGGCAAAGGGGTTGAGGGTTGGGGATAATATACGGCAGTCAGAAGTTAAAAGAGAAGCAGTGAGAAAAGTCTTGTTTAATGAACCTTAGGAATAATGACAAAACATGTTTAAATAATTGTCTTCCTCAATTTCCCTTTATAGGGGCGAATGTGAACATGAAGACCAACAACCAAGATGAGGAGACGCCCTTGCACACGGCTGCCCACTTCGGCCTTTCGGAGCTGGTGGCCTTCTACGTGGAACACGGGGCCATAGTGGACAGCGTGAATGCCCACATGGAGACCCCCCTGGCCATCGCCGCCTACTGGGCCCTCCGCTTTAAGGAGCAGGAGTACAGCACGGAGCACCACCTGGTCTGCCGCATGCTGCTTGACTACAAAGCCGAAGTCAATGCCCGAGATGACGACTTTAAATCTCCCCTCCACAAGGCAGCCTGGAACTGTGACCACGTGCTCATGCACATGATGCTGGAAGCTGGCGCCGAAGCCAATCTCATGGATATCAACGGCTGTGCTGCCATCCAGTACGTGCTGAAGGTCACCTCCGTGCGCCCTGCTGCCCAGCCTGAGATCTGCTACCAGCTCCTGTTGAACCATGGGGCTGCCCGAATATACCCTCCACAGTTCCATAAGGTGAGGCTCTGCCCAGTGGTCAGCAGGTTGAGGAAGATTCAAATGGCAGCCTTGTCTGAAATCTCCAAGTAACTCAAGCTTGCTTGAGGCTTGAGTCCTGGGCTAACTACCTCTGATCCTCTTTGACCTTCCATTACATACCTAATCCTAGCTGTCTCCTCATCTCATCCTAGTCTAGGTTTGCTTGAAATTGGGTGTGAGAGCTAGAATGAGAAAAAGAGTAGCAAATAATTTGTTTTGCCTTGTGTGAACACCAGTGCACTGGTGGCTTCCTGAGGGACTGAGGTAAGTCTGCCAGAAAGGTGAATAGTGTTAGACAGGCATACATTTGCCATCTTTTAAACAGAATGACTGATCTAAAGATGACTCAGCCTGCTTTGAAATTAGCTTGTAGCCATGAAAGGGCCACCCGATTTTCCAGTTTAATGAAAGCTAACGTTTATTAAGTACTAAAATTATATTTATTATGTATAATAAATAAGCACACTGTTATAAGCATTTTGTATGTCTTCATTTAATTCTTACAACAATCATACGAGGTATATATTATTATTGTCCCTATTTGACAGAGGAGGAAACTGAGGCACAGTTAAGTAGCTTACCTGAGCTCCCACAGTGCCAGTGCCAGGATTCAACCTTAGATACTTTGGTTCCAGCATCTACTCTTATGATATCACACTGCACGGTTTTTCTTAACAACATTCATAATCTCAAACAGGCTGGTAGGGACCAGTTGCTACCAGTATTGATATGACTAAGACATGGGACGTATCCTCAAGAAGCTTAGAATCTAGCAGATGAGACAAGCAAATAAAGGGGTAATTTTAATATGCTGTGGTAAATGACAAGGTAGAAGAATAATGAGTGCTACAGAAATATGGAAGAGAGTGAATTTTGCATAGTTTTATAGCTAGTAATTAATTTGGAGGCCAAAATGCATTTTACCTGAAAATAAATCAAATAATACTATACTTAGGTTTCCCCCTTGCTCTAAAAATTTAATTAACAACAAGAAGAGTTTGAAGTATACAACAACTGACTAATTAGGCCACAGAAAGCAAAGTAACAGATGTTTTTCTGAATTCACAGCTTAAGTTCTACGTCTTACCTGGGTAAAATGTCAGGGACTTGTCTGAAGTCCTGCAGTGTGAGGCTTAGTTAGAAGAAAAGTTCTACTAGAGAATTTAAGGGTAGTGCCTTCAGTCAGGGCAGATTCCAGATGGACAAACCAGAGAACTTTCAAATGAAGATTTGATGGGTTCAGCAATCCTGTGATCTCAATAGGAATTTTCTCTTGGTTATCAGGATGCTAATGGAAGATTAACTAATTCTTTTTTAAAAAATTATATGTAAAGCCCAGAATGTCATGAATTTTCCAAAAGTTTTTTAGGGAACTACAAATGATTAAGATGAGGAATAGAATAAGAATAATGTTACAGTAACTGTCCTGTGTTGAGCTCTAAATAGGTTTTATACAGACTATTTCATTTTATTTTTATAATGGACTCTGAGGTGGGCACTGGCATTACTCACATTTAAAAGGTGACTAAGCTAAAGCTAATAGTGTTAATATATTTTCATAAAGTCACACAGAGTAAGTGTCAAGTTCACTCATTTGTTTATTTAACAAATATTTACTTAACACCTCCGAAGTGTCAGGTACTGTTCTATTTGCTGGAGGTAGAGCAATGAACCAAAGGCCTTCATGAAAGATACTTTCTAGTGGGAGACAGGAAACAAACAAAACAACAACCAAATAAATATACTCTGATATGTTAGGTGCTATGGAGAAAAAGCAGGGCAAAAAAAAAAAAAAAGAGAATGCCAGATTATGTGTGCTACTTTAAGTTGATTAGAAAAAATAAGGATGTGGGGGGCTGGGTGCAGTGGCTCACCCCTGTAATCCTAGCACTTTGGGAGGCTGAGGCGGGCGGATTGCTTGAGTTCAGGAGTTCAAGGACAGACAGCCTGGGCAACACGGTGAAACCCTGTCTCTAATAAAATACAAAAAATTAGCTGGGTGTTGTGGCGTGCGCCTGTAGTCCCAGCTACTTGGGAGGCTGAGGCAGGAGAATGGCTTGAACCCGGGAGGCAGAGGTTGCAGTGAGCCGAGATTGTGCCACTGCACTTCACCCTGGGTGACAGAGCGAGACTCTGTCTCCAAAAGAAAAAATAAGGATGTGGAGGAACAAGCCATGCAAATACCTGATGGGGAGGTGGGGAGAGCATTCCAGGCCTAAGGAAAAGCAGGTGCAAGGGTCCTGAGGTAGGAGAGGGCTAAGCATGTTTGAGGGAGAGCAAGGAAGCCTCAGTGGCTGAAGTGGAGTGAGCAAGGGGAAGATAAATCCAAGAGGTATATATGTGGGTTGTTTGCAGACCATATATGTCGCCTTGTAAGCTGTGGGAATGTTCTTGGTGTTATACTCTGCATGGGAGAGGAAGTCACTGAAAGATTTTGAGTTGAGAAAAATAAAAGTCTGATTTATATTCTAAAATGGTCCTTTTGACTGCCTTTCAGAGAATAACTCTGAGTGGGGGGCTGGCAAATTTGCAATAATTTAGATGAGAGATGAGGGTAACTTAGATTCACAGTGGAATAGTGAAGGTGGTGAGAATCATGGACTTTGGGGTCAAACTTGGATTCTGTCACTTACTTAAGAGTGTGATTAAATAAACTGCTGAAAGTTTCTGGGCCTCAGTTTCTTCCCCTGTTGAATGAGTATACCCTGAATTTATGCCTTGGCAATGCGATGCAGACTCAGTCCTTCCCCAGAAGGAAGTTATTCCTACTCATAGCACATCACAAATATGCTCAAAGCTCAGAGGATGGTGCCAAACATTTCTTTCCTCTTTCTCTTGGACTTCTTTCAGTCACAGCAGAGTCTCTTTCCCAGTTCCTCCCTTCAGTCCTATCCTACATCTATACACATCTCTCTCTTTGTTTACTTCCATCTTTTTTTCTTACCTACATCTTGCTAAGGGCTGGTCATTCTTCATGACGTTAGCTCTAGAAGACAAAAACATCTACCTCTGTAATACAGCTCACTTCACAAAGCATAATTTTCTGCATATTGTCGTTCAAAGACTACTTTCCCTCCAGCGAAAAGGATGGACAGGGACACAGGGCATGAAGGTGCCAGAGAAACATACTCTATCACTTTATCCATGAATAGTAATAGCCTTCTTGTAAGGCTGTTTTGATAATTAAATGAGATAGCATTTGAGAAGTGGTTAGCACGGTGCCATGGGCATGGTAACCATTAAACAAATGATGGCTATGACTATTACTATTCTTAAACATGTGTTGAGCAGGAGAATTGGTGCTCCTGGGCCTGCTTTACTATAGCAGTCTTCCCATCCAGGAGAGACAGTATGTGTGTGAGTCCCTGCCCAGAGACTAAATGTTGACTTGTATTCTGAAACTTGCTGTGGAATCTAGTAGTGGCATTCAACCCTAGTGTTCACTTTTCTCCTCCTCTCAACATGTGCTCTTGGTCCAGCATAAGCATCTCCCCTGCTGGCTTTTCTTGGTAGCTCCACCAGCCTGTAAAGTAGGCATACAATTTTGTGTTCCAACCAACTTTGTCCATGGTTAGCATTTTCTTATTCAGTTGTTTTGCTCCTTTGAGTTCCTTTAGTTTGGCTGTATGCTAAAGACATTTAGGATAGAGTTGGCTACTGGTAGATGGCTGGTATTACAAACATTTTTGTTGCTACTCAACAGACTGTGTAGGAGAGCTGGCCCCCCTCCAAAGGAAAAGTAAAGAAAAACTATTCAATTTACTATGCAGATGCTTCAAAGTGATTTAGAACAACTACTCCACAGCCCGACTTTCCAAAGAGAAAGTCATCTTTACGACAAGTAAGTGACTGACTCATTTATCCAGAAGATAAAGTGATTCGTTCTTGTGTGGATGGGGAATTCAGTTTCCTTATTTACAAGGAACAAGGTCAGAGCTGAAGATGTTTTCTTCCAAATACAAAGCCAATTTGTAGAGGGTGTATTTCACTGAAAGCCAATGTGTAAATTACATAAGCGGGGGAAAAAAGAATTATAGGGTCTGCAATTGCTTTCCAGGGTACAAAAGGACATTTGATTTTTTTTTCTCCCAGCGTAATTCAGAAGAAAGTGACACCCCAGGGAGCCAAGATTGGGTTTTCTTGTAGGGCAAGAAAGACATTTTTCTAGAGGAGGAAAAGGTAACACGAGGGTCTGGGAGAGGTAAGGATGATTTCTGCCATTGAACAATGCTGTATATGAAGGTAGGCAGTTCTCTTTGATCATTAAGTACCTTTCTGAACACATATATATCAATATAAAAGAGTGGAAGTAGCTTGAGAATGTTTCTGCTGAAGTGGCTTACAGATGATGTTTGGATGAGAAGAGAGGCAGGAAGACTTACCTTGAATCTCTTTTTTAAGAGATTGTGTATTAATCCATGCTTTTGGGGGTTGGATGGTGAGATGAGGTGTCTAAATCTCTCTTCAGTAGTCACCACAGTAGAAATAACTTTTTTGTCTAATTGTTCCTCCATGAAGGGAGAATAAGAGATGCCAGAGACTCATCAAGGTGAGCTTACTGAACATCTTCTGTTTTCTGGGCTGGCAAGGTCAAAAGGAGGCTGTGGTTTCTCCCTTTGGGGTCCACATCAGTCTGCTGTCTCATGTTTCCTTTGTCTTATGTTTTCATGAGGAAAATGCTGCTAAAATAAAACTCCCACTAATCTCTGTCCCTAACCTTCTCACTTCACTTAACAGATTGATGAGTTGGGAGGAGGAATTGACTTAGCTTGCTCAACCTTGGGTCTAGAGGATCCTTGAATTCTTTGTTCATTTATGTGGCAGGCTTCCAGTAATAAACTCTGTCTGCCAGGGAGAGGCCTGCAATTTTAGGGTATAAATTCAGTTTGGGGGTAGAATGTTAGAAGCTGTGTATGGCCCCCTAACTAAACATATGTAATCTATTTTATCAGTAGTAAAGATGATATTCTGATCTCTGATTGTCATCTTCATTTCATTTTTTAATAGGTCCTACACTAAAAAGGGAAAATTACTTATTGGGCTTCTAACACTCTTCGTGCTGTGACACCAAGGGTCTTAAAGATGAGGACAGGGCAGCCCTAGCTACAACTTTTCGTTTATCCTTTATTTATCCCCCACAATCTGTTCCTTACCTGTTTCAGTCCACCCAACTCCCAGTGACTTGACCTTCTAATTCAATCTGCTGGTATTTAATCTGTCTTCATCTCTTGATCTTCATGACCCCCTTGATAATCTCACTTTGAATGCTTTCTTCATTTGGTATCTTTCACTCTGACATGTCTGGTGTTTTTTTGACTTTGGAGTCATGCAGACTTGAGTTTAAATCCTGACTCTACCATTTCCTAGCTAAAAGACCCAGAGGTTAAATTTTCTCAGCCTTTGGTCTTAAATCTCTGAAATGGGGATGAATATAGGACCAACCTCATAGGATTGTTCAACGGCTGAGCAAGTTAAAGTATATGAAGATTTAACACAGTCCCTTGCACATAGTAAGTCCTCGAAAAATGGTAGCTATTATTTTCCCTTCTTCCTCTCTCGTGCCTATTAGGATTTCTGAAGCTGTAGGTAATGATCCTCTATCTTTTCCATTTATACCCATTTAGACTGTCACTGAACTTCATGGCTTCTGCCAGCACATACTTTGATGACACATAATAACTCCATCTTAGCTTTCTAATGGGGAGCATCTATTGTGTACATTTTTTGCTGACATGAATGGCTGGGCGCGGTGGCTTACACCTGTAATCCCAGCACTTTCAGATGCCTAGGCGGGCGGATTACTGGAGGTCATAAATTCAACACCAGCCTTACCAACATGGTGAAACCTCGTCTCTGCTAAAAATGCAAAAATTAGTCAGGAGTTGTGGCATGATTTGTAATCCCAGCTACTTGGGAGGTGAGGCAGGAGAATCGCTTGAACCCAGGAGGTGGAGGTTGCAGTGAGCTGAGATTGCACCATTGCACTCCAGCCTGGGCTAAAAACGTAAAACTCCATTAAAAAAAAAAAAGATGAACTATCCTCCTCCTCATTATCTGTCCATCCCAGATTAGTATGTTCCTTATTTCTGTCAATCAGTGGCAACTCTTGTTTGTCCTCTATCTCTGGCTTCCAAGTTGTATTCTTTCTTCCTCCTATCTGATTAGTATTAAGCCCTATACTTGTTTCTTCTCCCAGCTTCAGCCACCCCTCCTTCCCAGCACTAGCCCTGACACCAGCCTGGGAGCCGGTTGGTGCACTTCCCATTAGCCTCCCCTCCACTCTCTGCCCTCGATGCACTTGTCTTCTCCTCTGTGGGTTGCTGATGGTGCTCAAGGATCACCTGATGATCTTTATGTTAGTCTTTTATTATTTACTGACTTATATTGCTCTCTAACTCTTTGAAATTATTTGTGTCTTTTCTCTTCAACTAGGTTGTAAACTGCTTAAAGACAAAAAACAGGTCATAAATCTCCCAGAATTACTGTCATAGTACTAAACCCAGTGCTCAATAAAGGCTTCTTAATGGAATGGATAGGTTGAATATCATCCCTTCTCGTTAAGAGTGTATAATAGCCTCTTCTTGCCTGTCAAGTCAATCCCAAGCTCTTCAGGCTGACTTCCAGATGTGCTGCCAGCTGGCTTCATCTTACCAGCTCTGACCTTTAGCCCTGCCCTGACTCCATCCAGGTTGGCCTCTTTACTGTCAACACACACAGACACACTCACTCACACACACACACATGCACATGCACACACATGCGCACACTCTTACTTAGTTGGATATTAAGATCATAACCTTTCTGTCTCTGTTTTATCTGTGATCCCAAGACATTAGGTCTTTACCACCCTACACTGAAAAAGGCAATGCTAGACCACCTATGAGGAAGGTTGTCGAGCAACACATTTCCCTATGGAGAGAAAGTCGGTTTTGTGATCTTTTGCTCAACAGTAATAGGTTGAGGTTGATACGGTCTGGGAAATTAGGAAGAAATGTCTTTGGAGAAAGTTGTTTAAGTGCAGAGGCATGCCTCTCTTCTAATGCCTCACCTAACACCAAGTGAAAGGGGCTTTAGGAGGACCCCCTCAGAAAGGTTGATTTATGTTCTCCGAAGTTTCATGGGAAAAATGGAACTGATACGAAACTCATGATGAACAAATTTAGAAGAGCAGATCTGTGGCTGGAGCTGCTTGTTGGGTGGCAATGGAAAGAAAGATGATTAAACTGGGAGTCAGGAATGCCTTTTACTGGCCACACCAAAAGTTGGTTAAGTGTATAAACATCCATGTAGTTTAATCTAAATGTTAAAGCTAAATCTTTCTATCTCCTGAAGGAGATTCTGGCCATCTTGACTAAGCTTTCAAGTATTTTTGGTTGGTTAATAAACTATTAAACAGAGTGTGCTAAGAGCTAACTGAATTTCATGTCATCTTTCATTTGTTAATGAAAGGTAAAATACCAATAAGTGTGGTTTAGTACATGACACCAGCCCTCTGCAGGCATTGGACTGGGAAGATAACTTGGCTCAACTTGCATGTTACTCTGTAGTTTACTTTACCTCGTGGTCACCAGTGAATCTAAGTTGATTGACTAACATTGAATTTTTTGATAAAATGTTCTGTAGAGCTGGAAGAGTTTCCCAGGCAGCTGGGAATGTATTCTGTGTCCAGTCTGTCTCTAAATTGCTTCAATTATGTACAAAGGCAAAGTAATTCTTCAATTCTCATCTTCTTTGTTAGTGCCTCTTTTTCACTTGCTCGTGGAAGGTGAAAGAAATTGGTTTGATTTTATTAATCTATCTATTTGCCATGGTGGCAGTGTACTGGAATACTCAAAGGCGTGAGACTTCTGAAAATCGTTTTAGCATTCCAGGGAGCTTAATAGGTCTGTGGGTTCTGGTTTTTTTTTTACAGATAGGGTCTTGATGTGTTGCCCAAGATAGCTTTGAACTCTTGGGCTCAAGCAATCCTCCTGCCTCAGTCTCCCAAGTAGCTGGGATTACAGGCACATGCTACCATGCCCACTGGTCTGTGAATTCTTGATGTCTCTGTGAGCAGAATGAATGAACCATATATGTGCATCAAACAGATGAAACTCTGTGCTTCCTCTGCAGGTGATACAGGCCTGCCATTCTTGTCCTAAAGCAATTGAAGTTGTAGTCAATGCCTATGAACACATCAGATGGAACACAAAGTGGAGAAGAGCTATCCCCGATGATGACTTGGAGGTAAATAATCGATTCCCTTCTAATAGTTTTCACTATCAAGTACTTCCAGACTGCTCTAGAAGTACAGAAAATTGTAACAAAAAAGTTGGTTTTGAGAATGCCTTTAAAGCGTACTCAAATGCAATGAGACAAAGGGTTATAAAATGCAGGTTTGAGAGTTAATATTTCCATCAAATATGTGGCATTAAGGAGTGTCTTGGGGAATTCCTCCATTTAAGGGCAAGTTGAATTAAGTATATAAAGGTGGCAGTTTTCCTTTCTTCTCATTAATTTAGATGAGTTAAATGATAACATTTGGAATTGCTTATATAGCATTTTTACCAGAATATTAAAGCGTTTTGTGTAGATTATTTCATTTACTTTTAAATATCATGAAGTGACTATTAGGCAGGAAAGAGTTTTAAAAACCCTGTCTTGGGTCCTACAGAAAACCATTGGCAGAGTCAAGTTCTCACTTGCAGACTTTCAGACTTTGCTACCAATGTATACCAGTCCTTCCCACTGAACACCCTTGGTTCTTGGTTTTAGATGT